>NC_000012.12:28000820-28153515 GCF_000001405.40 Homo sapiens
GATCCATACCCCAAGAGAGGGCTCATACTCCAAGAAAGAATTCAGGATGAGTCCACAGTGCAAAGCAAAGGCAAGTTCATTAGGAAAGTAGAGGAATAAAAGAATCGCTACTCCACAGGGCAGCCTGAGGGCTGCTGGTTGCTCATTTTATGGTTATTTCTTTTGCTGAACAAGGGGTGGATTATTAATACCTCCCCTTTTTAGACCATATAGGGTACTTCCGGATCTTGCCGTGGCATTTGTAAACTGTCATGGTACTGGTGGGAGTGTAGCAGTGAGGACAGAGGACACTCTCGTGGCCATGTTGGTTTTGGTAGGCTTTGGCTGGCTTCTTTACTGCAGCCTGTTTTATCAGCAAGGTCTTTATGACCTGTATCTTGTGCTGACCTCCTATCTCATCTATGATTTAGAATGCCTTCACCACCTGGGAATGCAGCCCAGTAGGTCTCAGCCTCATTTTACCCAGCTCCTATTCAAGATGGAGTTGCTCTGGTTCAGACACCTCTGACACTGGTTCACCTGCAGAGAGGATGTTGAGGAATAAGTTTCATGTACAACTCACCCTTATTCAGAGCTGTTTCATATCAATCCTGAAAAAGGAATTTAGCAAAATTAAGAGTTAACTGCCTATAACCAGTTCAAGCCGTAAGTGGATTGAGTGCTCTCTAAGAATAGACAAAAGCTTTTTTTTTTCCTGAACAATTGATTATTGAGCAACCAGAAATAAAATGTTGTCAAGCTAGCCTTGAATAGGAGACTAAAGAAGTTCTAACCAGGATTTCAGAAAAAAATGTCTTTTTATTTTTAAGTGTGAGCAATGGCAAGACCAAGTAACTCTGTTATGGACTCAGCTGCTCCCAAAGTCACAGGGATCTATTGATAACCACCCAATCCCTCATGCCCCAGGCCACCAGAATCTAGTCTCCCCACTTTAGTTTAGCCTCCGTTTTTCTGCCAGAGTTATCTTTCTAAAATTCCAGTCGAACCATGTTTTCTGCTTGAAAGTATTTGATGGGTGTCCATTCACATAGAAGACAAAGTCAATCCCTGCAGCTTGGCATTCGAGGCCTTTCCTCATCTGGATCCTGTCGAAATTTCCAGCCTCTTTTATCCTGATCCAGCTTACTCTCAGCCACATGACGCTTTTCACTATCTCTTGAGCAGACCCACTCTTGTGTGTGGTCCCCTCCATGTGGAATGCCCTCTTTCTACCAAGGTCTACATATCTCACACAACTCCTCCAGAGGGTTTTTCCCTTGTCTTAGCTCTTCCCATTTCTACTCAGAAAGAAAAAAAAAATCAGTGCTCCCATCCTGAACTTGTTGCATTCTGATAGATAATTATGTTCTCACCAGTATGTCCTACCAGGCTGTGAACTGAGTTCCTTGATGGAAAGGATAATGTATTACTCAACTTTATCCCCACAGTTTCTTGTGGAGATGTGGCATATAACACACAGTTAATAATTACTGACTTTTATTGAATTGTAGAAACAGCAGGTTTGGGCAGGATATAATGCAAATGTTGAGTGATAACAGTTTTAAAATATTTATTTATTTTTGGTTCCCATTACTTATTCCGCTAGAATAGCACTGTCCAATAGAAATATAACGTAAGCTACAGATGCAAATCACAGATGTGATTTTAAATTTTCTAGTAGTCAATCTTTACTTTTATTTCATCCCATAATCTCTCCAATCTTCTATTTTGAGGATTTTTTTGGTGTTTTTAACTGTTTATTATATTTTATTAATTATTTCAAATATACTTATTTCATAGTATCATCTGATAGGATTACTTGTTGAAATTCTTAATTGTCTAATTCTGCTGACTTTTGCTTACACTGTTTCAGAATTTGGGGATTGTGAGCTTCTTTTCAGCATACCTTTAGCTGTGGGAATCCTGTGAAGTTTCAGGGAGGATTTGATTTACTTCTACCAATGACCCATTTTATTGTTAATTTCTTAGCTTTCAGTAGTCTCACTTAAAAATAATGCAAATTTAAAAATCGATTGTATGTCAGCATAGACCCATGACTAAACATTTTCTTTACCCTGTATTCAGTGGTTTACAGTAAGTTAGCCTGTTAGGGTGAGGGGCACTGTATTGATAAACTGTAAAAAATTGTGTATTCTCTTTCTTTTTTTTAAAATTTACTTATTTTATTTTATTTATTTATTTATTATTATTATACTTTAAGTTTTAGGGTACATGTGCACAATGTGCAGGTTAGTTACATATATATATATACATGTGCCATGCTGGTGTGCTGTACCCACTAACTCGTCATCTAGCATTAGGTATATCTCCCAATGCTATCCCTCCCCCCTACCCCCACCCCACAACAGTCCCCAGAATGTGATGTTCCCCTTCCTGTGTCCATGTGTTCTCATTGTTCAATTCCCACCTATGAGTGAGAATATGCGGTGTTTGGTTTTTTGTTCTTGCGATAGTTTACTGAGAATGATGATTTCCAATTTCATCCATGTCCCTACAAAGGACATGAACTCATCATTTTTTATGGCTGCATAGTATTCCATGGTGTATATGTGCCACATTTTCTTAATCCAGTCTATCATTGTTGGACATTTGGGTTGGTTCCAAGTCTTTGCTATTGTGAATAATGCTGCAATAAACATACGTGTGCATGTGTCTTTATAGCAGCATGATTTATAGTCCTTTGGGTATATACCCAGTAATGGGTATATACCCAGTAATGGGATGGCTGGGTTAAATGGTATTTCTAGTTCTAGATCCCTGAGGAATCGCCACACTGACTTCCACAATGGTTGAACTAGTTTACAGTCCCACCAACAGTGTAAAAGTGTTCCTATTTCTCCACATCCTCTCCAGCACCTGTTGTTTCCTGACTTTTTAATGATTGCCATTCTAACTGGTGTGAGATGATATCTCATTGCGGTTTTGATTTGCATTTCTCTGATGGCCAGTGATGGTGAGCATTTTTTCATGTGTTTTTTGGCTGCATAAATGTCTTCTTTTGAGAAGTGTCTGTTCATGTCCTTTGCCCAGTTTTTGATGAGGTTGTTTGTTTTTTTCTTGTAAATTTGTTTGAGTTCATTGTAGATTCTGGTTATTAGCCCTTTGTCAGATGAGTAGGTTGCAAAAACTTTCTCCCATTTTGTAGGTTGCCTGTTCACTCTGATGGTAGTTTCTTTCGCTGTGCAGAAGCTCTTTAGTTGAATTAGATCCCATTTGTCAATTTTGGCTTTTGTGGCCATTGCTTTTGGTGTTTTAGACATGAAGTCCTTGCCCATGCCTATGTCCTGAATGGTAATGCCTAGGTTTTCTTCTAGGGTTTTTATGGTTTTAGGTCTAACGTGTAAGTCTTTAATCCATCTTGAATTAATTTTTGTATAAGGTGTAAGGAAGGGATCCAGTTTCAGCTTTCTACATATGGCTAGCCAGTTTTCCCAGCACCATTTATTAAATAGGGAATCCTTTCCCCATTGCTTGTTTTTGTCAGGTTTGTCAAAGATCAGATAGTTGTAGATATGCAGCGTTATTTCTGAGGGCTCTGTTCTGTCCCATTGATCTATATCTCTGTTTTGGTACCAGTACCATGATGTTTTGGTTACTGTAGCCTTGTAGTATAGTTTGAAGTCAGGTAGTGTGATGCTTCCAGCTTTGCTCTTTTGGCTTAGGATTGACTTGGCGATGCAGGCTCTTTTTTGGTTCCATATGAACTTTAAAGTAGTTTTTTCCAATACTGTGAAGAAAGTCATTGGTAGCTTGATGGCGATGGCATTGAATCTGTAAATTACCTTGGGCAGTATGGCCATTTTCACGATATTGATTCTTCCTACCCATGAGCATGGAATGTTCTTCCATTTGTTTGTATCCTCTTTTATTTCCTTGAGCAGTGGTTTGTAGTTCTCCTTGAAGAGGTCCTTCACATCCCTTGTAAGTTGGACTCCTAGGTATTTTATTCTCTTTGAAGCAATTGTGAATGGGAGTTCAGTCATGGTTTGGCTCTCTGTTTGTCTGTTGTTGGTGTATAAGAATGCTTGTGATTTTTGTACATTGATTTTGTATCCTGAGACTTTGCTGAAGTTGCTTATCAGCTTAAGGAGATTTTGGGTTGAGACAGTGGGGTTTTCTAGATATATAATCATGTCGTCTGCAAACAGGGACAATTTGACTTCCTTTTTTCCTAATTGAATACCCTTTATTTCCTTCTCCTGCCTGATTGCCCTGGCCAGAACTTCCAACACTATGTTGAATAGGAGCGGTGAGAGAGGACATCCCTGTCTTGTGCCAGTTTTCAAAGGGAATGCTTCCAGTTTTTGCCCATTCAGTATGATATTGGCTGTGGGTTTGTCATAGATAGCTCTTATTATTTTGAGCTACATCCCATCAATACCTAATTTATTGAGAGTTTCTAGCATGAAGGGTTGTTGAATTTTGTCAAAGGCCTTTTCTGCATCTGTTGAGATAATCATGTGGTTTTTGTCTTTGGTTCTGTTTATATGCTGGATTACATTTATTGATTTGTGTATATTGAACCAGCCTTGCATCCCAGGGATGAAGCCCACTTGATCATGGTGGATAAACTTTTTGATGTGCTGCTGGATTCGGTTTGCCAGTACTTTATTGAGGATTTTTGCATCAATGTTCATCAAGGATATTGGTCTAAAATTCTCTTTTTTTGTTGTGTCTCTGCCTGGCTTTGGTATCAGGATGATGCTGGCCTCATAAAATGAGTTAGGGAGGATTCCCTCGTTTTCTATTGATTGGAATAGTTTCAGAAGGAATGGTACCAGTTCCTCCTTGTACCTCTGGTAGAATTCGGCTGTGAATCCATCCGGTCCTGGACTCTTTTTGGTTGGTAAGCTATTGATTATTGCCACAATTTCAGCTCCTGTTACTGGTCTATTCAGAGATTCAACTTCTTCCTGGTTTAGTCTTGGGAGAGTATATGTGTCGAGGAATTTATCCATTTCTTCTAGATTTTCTAGTTTATTTGCATAGAGTTGTTTGTAGTATTCTCTGATGGTAGTTTGTATTTCTGTAGGATCGGTAGTGATAGCCCCTTTATCATTTTTTATTGCGTCTACTTGATTCTTCTCTCTTTTTTTCTTTATTAGTCTTGCTAGTGGTCTATCAATTTTGTTGATCCTTTCAAAAAACTAGCTCCTGGATTCGTTAATTTTTTGAAGGGTTTTTTTGTGTCTCTATTTCCTTCAGTTCTGCTCTGATTTTAGTTATTTCTTGCCTTCTGCTAGCTTTTGAATGTGTTTGCTGTTGCTTTTCTAGTTCTTTTAATTGTGATGTTAGGGTGTCAATTTTGGATCTTTCCTGCTTTCTCTTGTGGGCATTTAGTGCTATAAATTTCCCTCTACACACTGCTTTGAATACGTCCCAGAGATTCTGGTATGTTGTGTCTTTGTTCTCATTGGTTTCAAAGAACATCTTTATTTCTGCCTTCATTTTGTTATGTACCTAGTAGTCATTCAGGAGCAGGTTGTTCAGTTTCCATGTAGTTGAGCAGTTTTGAGTGAGATTCTTAATCCTGAGTTCTAGTTTGATTGCACTGTGGTCTGAGAGATAGTTTGTTATAATTTCTGTTCTTTTACATTTGCTGAGGAGAGCTTTACTTCCAAGTATGTGGTCAATTTTGGAATAGGTGTGGTGTGGTGCTGAAAAAATGTATATTCTGTTGATTCGGGGTGGAGAGTTCTGTAGAAGTCTATTAGGTCCGCTTGGTGCAGAGCTGAGTTCAATTCTTGGGTATCCTTGTTGACTTTCTGTCTCGTTGATCTGTCTAATGTTGACAGTGGGGTGTTAAACTCTCCCATTATTATTGTATGGGAGTCTAAGTCTCTTTGTAGGTCACTCAGGACTTGCTTTATGAATCTGGGTGCTCCTGTATTGGGTGCATATATATTTAGGATAGTTAGCTCTTCTTGTTGAATTGATCCCTTTACCAGTAAGTAATGGCCTTCTTTGTCTCTTTTGATCTTTGTTGGTTTAAAGTCTGTTTTATCAGAGACTAGGATTGAAACCCCTGCCTTTTTTTTGTTTTCCATTTGCTTGGTAGATCTTCCTCCATCCTTTTATTTTGAGCCTATGTGTGTCTCTGCACGTGAGATGGGTTTCCTGAATACAGCACACTGATGGGTCTTGACTCTTTATTCAATTTGCCAGTCTGTGTCTTTTAATTGGAGCATTTAGTCCATTTACATTTAAAGTTAATATTGTTATGTGTGAATTTGATCCTGTCATTATGATGTTAGCTGGTTATTTTGCTCATTAGTTGATGCAGTTTATTCCTAGTTTCGATGGTCTTTACATTTTGGCATGATTTTGCAGCGGCTGGTACTGGTTGTTCCTTTCCATGTTTAGCGCTTCCTTCAGGAGCTCTTTTAAGGCAGGCCTGGTGGTGACAAAATCTCTCAGCATTTGCTTGTCTGTAAAATATTTTATTTCTCCTTCACTTATGAAGCTTAGTTTGGCTGGATATGAAATTCTGGGTTGAAAATTCTTTTCTTTAAGAATGTTGAATATTGGCCCCCACTCTCTTCTGGCTTGTAGAGTTTCTGCTGAGAGATCTGCTGTTAGTCTGATGGGCTTCCCTTTGAGGGTAACCCGACCTTTCTCTCTGGCTGCCCTTAACATTTTTTCCTTCATTTCAACTTTGGTGAATCTGACAATTATGTGTCTTGGAGTTGCTCTTCTCGAGGAGTATCTTTGTGGCGTTCTCTGTATTTCCTGAATCTGAATGTTGGCCTGCCTTGCTAGATTGGGGAAGTTCTCCTGGATAATATCCTGCAGAGTGTTTTCCAACTTGGTTCCATTCTCCCCGTCACTTTCAGGTACACCAATCAGACTTAGATTTGGTCTTTTCACATAGTCCCGTGTTTCTTGGAGGCTTTGCTCATTTCTTTTTATTCTTTTTTCTCTAAACTTCCCTTCTCGCTTCATTTCATTCATTTCATCTTCCATTGCTGATACCCTTTCTTCCCGTTGATCTCATCGGCTCCTGAGGCTTCTGCATTCTTCACGTAGTTCTCGAGCCTTGGTTTTCAGCTCCATCAGCTCCTTTAAGCACTTCTCTGTATTGGTTATTCTAGTTATATATTCTTCTAATTTTTTTTTAAAGTTTTCAACTTCTTTGCCTTTGGTTTGAATTTCCTCCCGTAGCTTGGAGTAATTTGATCGTCCGAAGCCTTCTTCTCTCAGCTCGTCAAAGTCATTCTCCGTCCAGCTTTGTTCCATTGCTGGTGAGGAACTGCGTTCCTCAGATGGAAATGCAGAAATCACCCGTCTTCTGCGTTGCTCACGCTGGGAGCTGTAGACGGGAGCTGTTCCTATTCGGCCATCTTGGCTCCTCCCCCTCCCTTTTTTTTTTTAAAATAGGTTGGTTACTTAAGAATTCTGGATGGTAACAGAAAATAAGATGTATAAAGATTAAAGTACTATAAATGTATTAATAAAAAAACTTTCTAATAGTCACATTAAAAATAAAAAGAAACAAGTAGAATTAATTTTAATAATATAGTTTGTTTAACTTAATATGCCCCAAATATTATTATTTCAACATGGCCTTAACATAAAAAATGATTTAGGATATTTTACCTTTTTTTTTTCTTTTACAGTCTTTGAAATCTGGTATGTATCTTTCACATCTCAATTCAGACAAGCCATATGCCAAGCACTCAGCAGCCTTGCATGGCTGATAGCTAGAGCTGTGAAGAGCACAGCTCTGGAGATTTGTACCTCCATTCAGGACATTCCTGGGTGCTCTATAATAACTGCTTCAAGGGACGGATGACAAACCGAGAGGACCAAGGCTCTTTTGCTGGCTTTTGAGTTTCAAAATCCCAGGCCCTCTGTGGGGAAAGAAAGCCTCATTCAGAGGAAACAGACTTGGTAGAAACCTTATGATGGCTTCCTGTGGCATCTTCCCACCCCACCCTGCCCCTAAATGAACACAACTAAGTGCCTCCAGTGATGCATACAAGTGCACAAGTACATACGCAAGCAAAGATCCCCTAAACCAGGGAGTGGGGAGCATTTAAGGGGAAGCAGGAGGTGAACAAACAATGTGATCCTGGAGGAAGAAGGGTTCATGCTTCTCTCTCTCTCTCTCTCTCTCTCTCTCTGTCTCTCTGTCTCTCCCTCTCTCAGGTTCAGAGTAGGGGATAACTGAAATCCAAGCTGGCTTTGGATTTGAAGATTTGAGAGCAATGAAGGCCTGGGTCCCCTTTCTCAGGAGGAACTTAAGGAGTGGGCAAGTAGAAGGCTCTATGAAGTATGTCCACGCTGATGGACTTGAGATGACCTCACAGAATTTCCACATGTCCTGGAGCCTTATAATCACTCCTGTACACCCAGATGGCCTGTTGATCGTCTCATTTGGGTTTCCCTTTCTTTTGTAAGAGAAGCAAAAGGATCCCATGTGCCAGAAGAGAGAGAAAAGTACAGATAAAAAACAGAGAGAGAGACAGACAGGCAGGTAAACGGACAGATAAATACGCAGACATGGAGAGCCTGTGGTGGACAGTGACCTATATTGACATGGGGTCAGAGACGAGACAGAAGCAAGACAGCTGAATACATGTCACCATGGATAGGTGACGACTCTAAGAGGACATACCTCTCAGGCTCTGGCACCACATAAACTCTTCTGGAAATTATACACAACTCCAGGGAGAGGGAGGGTGGCAGGGATAAATTGACTGGGCTTAAGTTTCTTCTACCTGAAGCATGAGGACTTATATAATAAAAATTAAGTTCTGGCTGGATATGTTGGCTCATACCTGTAATCCCAGCACTTGGGGAGCCTGAGGCAGGCAGATCGCTTGAGCTCAGGAGTTTGAGACCAGCTCGGGCAATATGGCGAAACCTTGTCTCTACAAAATACAAAAATTAGCTAGGCGTGGTTGTTCGTGCCTGTAGTCCCGGCTACTCAGGAGGCTGAGGTGGGAGGAGCACTTCAGCCTGGGAGGTCGAGGCTGCAGTGAGCTGAGATCTCACCACTGCACTCCAGCTTGGGCAACAGAGTGAGACCCTATCTCAAAAAAAAAAAAAAAGAAATTAAGTTCAATTATAGAAAAACAAAGGAAGTTACATCTCTTACACAGCGGATTTTGTGGACAGAGATTCCAACATCCAAAGAATATTTTGGGTTCCCAGTGACTTCCATGTCTATTTTTAATGGTACTTAGACAATAGTCTTACCATCATCCTTAAATTTATTTTATTTAGGAAGGTACTAAAGTCACAGAAAGAATTTGAAAATATTTTCAATTGTACATTATAATTAATTATAATTAAATTCTTACTAGATTCAGATAATCTAAAAATTTTAAGACACAGACTTCCTCATGTAGTCAAGGAATGGATGGAACCTGAAAAACAGATGGTGCTGATTGTTGAGAAATGTAGGGTCAGCGAATTTAAGAATTCCCTGTTTCTAGTAACCTAGAGAAGTGATAGTCATGAGCAGATACCATCTTTCTACACGGGATTAGTGTGCCCTGTTACTCTTGCTACCTTGCTCTAGGAGTTATCAGAAAGAGAAGAGAGTAAAATCTAACCTGTATAAAAAGATGTGGACTCTGGTAGATTTCTTAAAAGGAAGGAACTAGAGATCATAGGGACTAAATTCAGGTGAAATAGGTTGGTGCCCTTTGCTGATCCAATAAGAAAAGATTCTGTCATTTGTCTAACCATTGTGGGTGGCTGGAAGTTATGGGGATAGAGAGAAATGCAGGTAAACTAAGTCTAGATTAAGGACAGAATATATTTAAGAACCAAGATTTGATGAGGCGAGACACAAACACAAAAGTTACTTAACTGTTAGCTTCAAAAAGGTTTGCATCATATATATTTGACATCCTCTCCTCTTCTAAAACTGAGAGGAGAAATAATGAAAAGCTCACCGGTTGCAGAATCAAGATCTTTAACCCACCACCTCTGGAAAAACCTCGCTTCTCGTCATGCTAGGAGTCTGTCTGACCCAATTAGTCAAGAGAAAATAGATTCAGAACTTTCCCAGCAGCTCAGAGGAGTACAAGGGAATCTGCAGGGAGGTGATAAAATGAGAACATTCTCAGAAAACTTACCTCAAATGACATGACTTCTCTGCAAGTTAAATATATTGAAATTTTAAAAAGGAGCTAGGAAAAAAAAAAAAGAGACCCAATTACCAAGAAAAGAGTTGTCCCTAAATAATGGGGGTGTGCATTGCCTCCCAGGGCCATTTGCTCATTTCTACCATCTCCCCAAGGGAAGCCATGTTCCCCCACTCTGTAACAGCATCGGGGGCTGTTAAAGCCTCCTTCTTCGTTTTTCTTTAGATGAGATAAAGGAGAGAGAACGTAAATGTTCACTTGTGGGATGGGACAGAGGAGTGCAGAATAGTAGGCAGGCATTTTTACTTTCCTGTGAGAAATCTTTCAAGAGATCTAGTTTTCATGATTACTGCTTGTGTGGGAATTACAGATGCTCTTTGTTGTCTCGTTTCTTAAAAGGTGAAACAATAACTTCCCTCAGAGGTCTTTTAAGAGCTAGCGGAAGAAAGTTTGGGAGCTAAAATCAACAAAAGCACAGAACATTCCAGAAGACATGACCATGTCAACGTCTTCTCCTTGGAATCCAGTTGAGTTTTATATTAGCCGTAGCAGCAATGGTATTAGCACTGGTAGCAGTAGTAATAAGTGAAGTATTGAATATTTGTTAAGACTTTATTATGTGTCAGGTATTGTAGCAAGCACTTTAATTATATGTTGACAAACTATAGTTGTATATACAATTTATATCAATTATATATATAATTGTATATATAAGTGATGTTATAATTTTTGAATGCAATGTGAAGTGATTAAATCAAACTAATTAACCTTTCCATGACCTCAAGTACTTGACATTTTTTTGTGATGAGATTTGAGATTTACTCTTAGTGTTATTGAAATAGACAGTGCCCAATTATTAGTTATATTCACTATGCTGTGCAATAGTTCTCAAAAAAATTGAACTTATTCCTCCTAGCTAAAGGCTTTATACCCTTTGGGTATAATCTCCCATTCTCTCCACCCTCAGCATCTGGAAACTACCATTCTGTTCTCTGCTTGTGTGGGTTGATTGTTTTAGATTCCATACATAAGTGAGAACAGGTGGTATTTGTTTGTCTTTGGCTAATTTCATTTAGCGTAATTGCGACAACATGGATGGAATTGTAGCAAGCACCTAACCTGGAGTTTCTAATTTAATTTTTCATTATAACTATTATTTTTACTATTATTCCAATTTTAGAGATGAAGAGACTGAGGCTTCAGGGCTTAAATAACTTTGCCAAGGTCACATAGCAAGTGGCAGAGCCAGGAGTCAGGCCTTGAACTCTGTTGTCATTTATCCTAACATGCAATTTTATTTTAATACTGAGGGCCTACTACAGCCAGGACTGGACACATAATTTGCAAGGCCTGTTGCAAGATAAAAATGTGGAGTGTGGAATAGTAGGCAGGCATTTTTACTTCCCTGTGGGAAATCTTTCAAGAGATCTAGTTTTCATGATTACTGCTTGTGTGGGAATTGCAAATGCTCTTTGTTGTCTCTTGTTTCTTAAAAGGTGGGGAAGAAATTATTAAGAAAGTCAAGATGGTGGCAGCAGAGCATTAAACCAAAGGTGGAGCCCCACATGTCTGGCGGTGTGGGTCACATGCCCATGAAGCTGGCCCTGGCTACATAAGGGGCCATTTGTATCCTCTAACTTTTGGGGATACAAATGTTGATGATACATAGTTCATGTCTTTAAGGTCCTACAGTCTAGTCAGGAAAACGGACTTATAAGGAGGATGTTTCTGTGTGAAGTGGTAAGATAAGGCCACCAAAGTCAGAGACAGAGCAACTACCACCCAGTCTGGGGTTTCTGGAAATGCTTAGTAATTCTGAATGGAATAACGGAATGACCTCTCTTAGTTAGTCCTTTTTTCTCCCCCACTCTTTTCTCTCTTTCTCTGCTTAAACAAAACACGACAAAGGAGACTGAGAGATGAGACAAATGCCAGCCTTACTCCTGATAAGCTGGTAGGAGAATGTGGCTTCGGATATGTGGCTAAATGGGCTTGCTCCCACCCCTGAATGAGACAGGTGGCTGCCTAGCCCCAAGTGCGGTGGGCAGTTTGGAAGCCTGCAGGCTGCCAGGGTAGGGGGACCTGCCCCACTTAGCCAATGCACAATGAAGAGCAGAACAGATCCTCTCTGTAGGCAGCAGATCCAACAGGAGAAGCTTGCAGGGTTTGGGAGCAGAAGTGTGGGTAAGCAGGGAAGCTGTTGGGAATGGTGTCCACTGAGGGTTCTCTATATGGAATCACAAGGAGGACAAAAAAAGGTCTCCCCTAGCAGGGCTTATGATTTTTATTTTAGATAGATTGGCTCACATTTTAATCTGAGTACCAGACCTTCACATTCTGGCCTTTTGCAAGACCACTGAGCAGGTTGAAAATGGCCTTTTACTAAATCCAATGATCTTTCTTGTAATTATATAATGATTTGTGAAGAACAAGAAGAGGGCCTATCATCAGAGTATCATTCTCCCAATTTTTCAGTCCCCAGGGAGTATGGAAAAATTTTCTTCTCTCTGGGTAGTTGAAAGCTTTTTATTTATGCATCTAAAGGCAAAAGGTTCCATTTTAATGTTCTGGGTTAGATTAGAGAATAACAAATTAAATTAGAAGATTAGAGAATCTACAATGCAGATGTTGATGAGTTCATGTAAGAGAGGGAGGTCAGGGTTTATAATATTTATGACATTTAAAATCTCATGTCAAGACCAAGGAAAATGAATGATTACATTTATCAGCCTTCTTTGAAGCCACCATTTTGGATTTTCAATAGTTTCTAATTTTACTCTCAGTCTGTACCCTATGTCCATTCTCCCAGTGGATCTCCCTCTTGGCCCTTTCATCCCCACCTTGTGAGCACCTGCAGTTGGCAGCACCTTTCCTTGGGAAAGCACAACCAAGTTTGAGGCCTGTTCTGGCCTGTGTATCAGCAAGCTGAAGGTTGGTAAAATAAACTTATAAACCCACAGACCTGTTTTAGCAATACATCTAAAAAATACATTTACAGTATTCACTGACCCTCCCATGTTGTATTTTGCAGTTAGAGCTGAGCATTTTTTCTGTTTAAGTTTACAGCATCATTAAAAAGAGACAGGGTGAACCTACAATGAGAACAGTGTTTCATTTTAATATTATCTTGAAATGTAACACATTATAAAATTTGTACAGACTAAGGTGTTGTTTTATATATTTTTACACCAGATCGTGAGCCCATGTCTGAGCTCCAGTCATAAGACATATGAACAATCTTAGAAGAGCCACCTTTCCTTGCCCAGGTGCAGGAACACTAAGGTGGCCATGGACATTTGGACATTTGAGCTGAATAGAGCACCTGCATAAATGCCCATGGGGCATTATTTACTCTTGCTTACTCTTCATCCACCTGCCACACACCCTTCTCTCTCCAGAGTTCTCTGTGTTCTGTGGTGTCTTTCTCTTTGGACAGGCCAAAAGATCACACAGGACAACGCAATGCCATTTACCTTGGACTCTGTAGTCTTCATGTTTTCCCAACTTGAATGTTTCTCCTTGATGGCAGCAACTGGATCCTACATTGTCCTATAACTCTCAGAACATATACCACAAACCTAAGCATAAAATTCAGTAAGTGTTCAGTAAATATTTACTCACTAGAGAACAAAGGTTTTTTTTCTAAAAAAAAAAAAAAAAAAAAGAAAAGAAAACAACCCAGGGAACAAAATCTCTAATGGTGAAATTTCAGTTACTTTGACAGGAATATGCAAGATATTTTGGAAAAGAGCACCTTTTTTTTTTCACTTCCAGTCGTATCTGTAGTGTTCTTATAGAGTGCAGACCTCCAGAAGCTTCTGAGAACTACATCCAAGGATGTCTGCTGGGGCTATGAAAGCTCAAGCCTTCTTATTGCAATGGTGGTAGCTAATATGAGGCCTAAATATTGGGTGAAAAATATGGAGGGGCTTCAGGCCTTCTAAAGGTATCCGAATTTCTTCTTTCATCTTTAAAATAAATACCTTCCCACCATTCAAAAATAAATAATTCTCTCAGAATCAGGAAGTTTGTGCATATTTATATCCTTATCCATGTAGGCTTCTGAAAAGGAGCAGAAATGTGATTCCTGTTTAATAGACGTATACACCCCATTGTCTAATTATGTGCATTAATACTTCTTGGAAAAAATGTGGTCTTTCATAACTAGTTTTATACCAGATTCTAAATATTTGTTGAAGTGTCATAGTTTCTTAATCCTAATTAGTATAATTGATTATTAGCAAATTTTTCCATTGTCAAGATATTATTTTTATTGCCAGCTAAAATTACTATTTTCATTTGCATCACAAAACTCTTAAGTGGTTTGGTAAAATATAAAAACATCACAAAACTTCCCTCGAGATGCACTAGATACATATTGGAATTATTTCTATTCCTCTGAGTAAAAGATGGAGAACTTGGCTGTTCTATTAATTCTTACCTCAGCATATTTTGTTGGACAAGGATAATTACCATAACATAAATTATTTTCCCCATTCTATAAGGGAGCAGTTTCTAGTACAGAGTTCATTCCAGAGATATTTCTGTTTTACAAAATGCATAGGAAATAGAGCCAGAGATCTTAGCAGATTCTAATACAGTATAGTAGCTAAAGAAAATAGTGATAATTGTGTTTTTCCATAATTTTTGCCGTCTTATTTGTCATTGTGTGAGGAAATGTTAATTAAAAGCCAGAATGGTTGAATTTATTAAAGTTTCCTTGTAGGTGAACAATGTTAATTAAAAAATGGAAAATAATTCTCTAAATTTTTAGTTATTTTTCATGGTTTCTAGGTTAAACTTCTAACTATAAGAAGTTCCCCATTTTGATTTATAGTTCTTCCTTGAAACTGGAACATATTCCAATTAGAAAGAAAAAAGTAGGTCAAGTTAGTTAAATAAGAATCAACAATGCCCAATTCAAAGTCTTGAGTCCAGTTTATCCTTCTGTGCCTCTTACGCCTATCATCCTTGTCCAGGACTCAACTGCATTACTTTGGATTATCTATTTCTTTGGTGCCCAGCCTGATATTGCATTGCACTTCCTCCCCCTGCTCTAGTCTCTTTCCACTGTGTTTTCCTGAAACCCATTTCAATATGTACCAAGATATAGAGATCTTTGTTTTTGCTTCTTAGCAATGTCCTGTGAGGTGCTTGCTTTGTTTTGTGAATGCCTTGGTGATCCCACTTAGAGGCTATGCTTCCAGGGCCTATGGCTACACGGATGCCCAGAGAAAACTGGGCATTCAGTTCTCTGGACAAGGAAAAAGGCAGAATGTGTGTGAGGGCCTGCAAGGGAAGTGTCTCAAAAGAGAGAATGAGACTCAACAGCTAGTGACCCAATGAGAGACTTGGGAAGACTTTTCTAATGAGGATCTTTGGAAAGAAATGCTGTGTACTGAGTGATGTAACATCCGTGCTCAGTCTTCTCAAGTTCTTAAGCACATTTTATTTGTTTAGCTGATGCTCTGTGTAGTAGTTTTTCTTTGGGAGAGAAGAATATGTGAATAAGTGCAGAATCTTACTTCAAGTCTGGCATGAGACAAGAAAATGTGAATAAGTGCAGAATCTTACTTCAAGTCTGGCCTGAGACATAGTGTCCCACTATGTCTCTCCTTTTGATCCCAGAAAATTTTTCAAAGAACAATCCACTGACTGTCTCTACTCCCTCACCTCTAGTTTGGTTGATACATTCTCTCTGTCAGTTTAATCCCTGCCTGTGGCTTAAACTACTACTAATAGGTGTAGATGATTCTCAAGGATGCCACCTAGTCCAATCTGCTCTCCAGAACTTTGAGCTTGTGTATCCGTTTCTACCTAGATGTTACAGAGTCCTGAACTTCATCTTGAAACTTCTAGGTTCATCATCAAAGTCAACATGTCAAATCTGCACTACTCATCTCCCTCTCCTTTCTCCTAAACCTACCCCTCTTTAGGCCTTCTCTATCTTAATGTTACCACTAGCTATCAAGCATTCTAAAGTAGACATCATACTAGACTCTTTCTTCAATCATCCCACTCAGTCATCAAACCCTATTGAATTTACCCTCAATACCATAAGTTAGTCCCTGACAATTTCTCACTTAGAAAACTGCACAAAACATCACTCTATTTCTTAAAGATGATTTTGTGTTTGTATTCCTCATCAGTCTGTGAGTTCCCTGATAGTGAAGACTGTCTTGTTCACCTCTTTCTTTAGTTCTCTCTCTCTAGAGACTAGCACTTAATGTAGTTGATCAGTTATCTACTGCTATATAACAAGCCACCCCAACACGTGGAGGCTATAAACAATTTGCTCATGATTTGCAGGGCTTGTCTGATGGTTAGTCTCTGCACTACATGGTATTGGCTGAGCTCACTCATGCATCTGTGGTCAGTTGGCACACTGACTAGGGACTGGGCTGGTCTTATTTGGCTTCATGTACATGTCTGGCAGTTCCTGGGACTGTTGGCTGGGGTACCTTGGTTCTCTGCCACATGGCTTCTCAAGTTTAAGAATGCTTGCTTGGGCTTCTTGGCATGGCAGTCCCCAAGCAGCAAGAAGAGCAGAGCAGAAGCTGCAAAGTCTCTTGAGGTCTAGACTCAGAAGTTGTATGATATCACTTCCACTACATTTTCAAAGTCAAAGCGAGTGGCAAAGTCAGTCCAGATTCAATGGGTGGGGAAATAAAGTCTACCACCTGACGGGAGGAACAGAAAAGTCATACTGCAAAGGAGTGTGCACACAGGGAGGAATGATTCACTAGAGCCACACATTGTTTCTGGCACAGAGTTAAGCTTTATAAGGATACGCTTCATAAATGCCTGTAGAATAGACTGAATGGATGGCTGGGTGGATGGAAGGATGGATAAGAGGCAGTATGGCATGGTCACTAGGACACTGGATTAGGAATTCTAGTCCTGAGGCTGATTATCATAAATCATTTGACCCTGGGCAAGCCCCTGTACCTTTTACCCATGTTTCCTCACCTACAAAATAAAAGTAGAAGACTGGATGTGTTTATTTTATAGCTAAGGCTGTCCTTGAGCTACATTTTATGATTCTATAGCTATTAATCATATCATTATGTCACAGGTAACAAAAATCGCTTTCTTGACCTGACTTGATTCATCCATGGCTGCACATTGTTAAGGAAAAATCATGTTGGTGCTCATTTCATAGGAACATCCCAAATGGTGTTTCTATTGTTAGTCAGCCAGCTAGAAGCAAGCACATGCCCATAACAGGCATTCTCTCCACCTTTTTTTTTTTTTTTTGGTATCAATGGTTCCTTTGAAATGACTATCAAGACTTTCTATTTAACACTACTAAAAATATAATTCCTGCCCTGAAATACAATGTAGAATGTATGGGCTTCCTCTCCGTTTATCCCCCTTAATGGAGACAGTTTGGGAAATACTGTTGTGTACTTAGAAAAGATTAGGTTTGCTTAGAATTATACTTAACTTTGCAAAATATATTCTTTTAACTCTTTTCAACTTGGTCTCTGTTTGGTATAAATAAAACCTTTCAGCCTGTGAGTTTGCAAAGGCTTAATTGCCAGGTATTAAGTAAGTTATTTCCTTTGCACACTGAAAATAATATTTTGAAAATCTTTCAAACCCCTGAAAGGTCTTCAAATTATAGAGTAAGAAAGAGTTGAACTATATAAATATTGTTGGGGTTTTACTTTGCCATTTTCTTCTTTATTATGAAATAGTATAAAATGCTATTGGTTTTTCCAATTTTCTGTTCAATACCAATTTATACCATTCGTGGGAGGATGGATGAGGAGGATAGAAGACAGGGTTGATAATGGCCATAGGCGTTCAAGGTCATTTTATCTGATTTAGTAAATGCAGACAATTAGTCTTTTGATACCCTACCTGAACTAGTCTCTTCCTATATGATTTAAGGCTGGTTTTATTTAGATAGCATGTCTTTTAAAAGAGTCTACATGGAAAATGATGTTAATAAAACCTTAAAAGAGAGCCAGATACAACTAATTCTCATGTATTCTTACCTTGGTTAACTCCAAGGGCTGTGTTAAAATGAGCAATTTTGTTCTGAGAGTGGAATTGCTTATAAAATGAACAACTGAGTTATCTGACTCTTGCTTTTAGTAAATGACAAAACAGCTAAAAATACAAAGCATTACAATGGAGCAAGAAGGATTAAAGTACAGATCACATCCTGAAAGAAAAAGAGCTTGTGGGGGAGGAGGAGGGTGGTGGCATGGAAGGGAACGGAGAGGTGATGTCCCAGTGGAAGCAGATGATGCCATATCGTTCAGCAGCACATTAATACTAACAGCATATGCTGTGCTGAGGTAGTCACTGCTCGTACAAGTTTAAAATAAAAAGACATCATGGAGAAGTAATGCAGTAGAGTTTTGTGTAAGGGTGTTAGTTCTTTGGGAGAGAAGGGGAGATGAAGGTTGGAAGTGTAAAGGAGTTAGCTTTCATTAGCATTCAGATGGTTTTCTAGACATCTGATGTCTAGATGTCTAATTCCTAATACAGTGTTCTAGTGCTTAATTCCTTGAATAATGTCTTAGTATTATGTATAGCTTACTTATTACACGGCAATCTTTATTGTTATTTATTTATAATCCTCCTACTTGTAAAAATGATTTGAAGCAGCTTAAAAAGCACAGTTATAAATTCCTCAAACCACTAAAAGAAAAATAAAAGTAAGAACTAAGTATTAATAGAGATCAAGGTGGGGGAAAATAATTATATCAGAAACAAACAGCTAAGGAAAGTTATGGTAGCTCTGAACTTCTTAATGGTCAAGACAGAAAATTTTGATAACAAACTATTTTTCTTGGCCTCCAAATAATCTTAAGAGCAATTTTAGTCATTTTTGAGATGAACATAAGTAATTTAACAATCGCATTAAAGGAAATTGTGAGAAATGATTGAAGAAAACCTTATCCCACCACTCTAAGATAACCATTAACTTTTACTTTATTTGTTATTTTATTATTTTGGAGACGGCATGTTGCTTTGTTGCCCAGGCTGGGGTGCAGTGGTGCCATCTCGGCTCACTGCAGTCTCAAATTCTCTGGCTCAAGGGAATCCTCCTGCCTTAGTCTCCCAAGTAGCTGGGACCTCAGGCATGTGCCACAATGCCCAGAATTTTTAAAAAGCATATATATATATATATATATATATATATATATATATATATTTTTTTTTTTTTTTTTTTTTTTTTTTTTTGGTAGAGAAGAGAGTTCGCCATGTTGCCAAGGCTGGTTTTAAATTTCTGGGCTCAAGCAATCCTCCCGCCTTGGCCTCCCAAAGTGCTGGGATTACAGGCATGAGCCACTGCACCTGGCAACTTTTAAGTATATTAACTTGCAGTCTTTGTCCCATACAAACACATTTTAACATTAGATCAATCGCACTACATTTTGTATACAACTTTTATTTTTCCATAATGGCTACATATTCTTGAAGTTTCACTGGTGACTGCCTATTAAATTGTTAGGCTATGAAATAATCAGTCATGTTGTTATAATGTCTTTTAACCATTTCGGTTTTGTCGACCTTGTTTTCATCATTCTACTATTGTGTAGAATGCTGTAATGAATGTCTCCATGTGTATATTTTTTTTTCACTTCTAAGGAATTATTTCTTCATTTAGTCAATAAATACTTATGAAGAAATTCTTTCTGTGTTTCAGTCACATGTGATGGATTGGGGACATAGAGGTCAATATTTTCAAGGTACAGAGGAAAGGTACATAATTCTGTTTGCGCACGGAGATACCAGGAAAGGCTTTGGTGAATGTGATGTTCGGACAGTCCCAAATAATTTTTTTATAAAGTGCTTGTCAAGTTTCTTTCCAGTTAGGTTTTATCAAATCACAATGTTGATGTGGTAAAAGATTTACTCCTTCCTTCCATTATCAAACCTATATCAATATTTGTGTTATCATTAAATCTAAAGATATTTTAGAATGCTTAACATTTACCTGCAAGTTGCTTTAATTTACTCAGGTTATATTTGAGGATAATATAGTACAGAAGCTATATAGAGTCTGTTCGTGATCTTCATGCTTTCAATTACATGGAATGACATGGCAGACAAAATACAGACCTTGGAGTCCCATTTAAAAGATGCCTCTGCCACTAACTAAGCTTGGGTGAGTTAATCTTGCTAAGCTACAATTTTCTCAGCGGCAAGACTAGAATAACAATCAAGACATTGCATGATTATTGAAAAAATTAAATGAGAGAATGAACAAAGCATCTGGAATATAATAGGTATTTTGGGAATATAATAGGTATTTTGGGAATAACTATGACTGCTTATTTGCATATTGGGGTTCTCTGTATAGATTTCAGGAGTTCTTTATACATATTAACCTTCTATCCTATTTAATGGAAATGACTGCTGCAACATGTTGCTCTCCTATTTTCAAATTACAGCATAATATCTTTATATTTTACTTTTTGAAACTGAGTTTCACTCTGCCACCCAGGCTGGAGGGTAGTGGCACGGTCACGGCTCACTGTATCCTTGACCTTTCCACCCAAGTGATCCTCCCACTTCCCAAGTAGCTAGGGCCACAGGCACGTGCCACCACACCCAGCTAATTTTTAAAT
Organism: Homo sapiens; assembly: GCF_000001405.40. Classification (NCBI taxonomy): domain Eukaryota; kingdom Metazoa; phylum Chordata; class Mammalia; order Primates; family Hominidae; genus Homo; species Homo sapiens. The sequence continues at coordinate 28,021,510 of NC_000012.12, forward strand.
TTCTTGTAGAGATGGGGTCTCCCTATGTTGCCCAGGCTACTTTTAGATTTTAAAAGCTCTATACATTTGTTTTTATTTTCTTTATGTTTTAAAGTTGAATCAGTTATTGTTCCTCTACAATGCTGTTAAATATTAGCATTTCTGATTGTTTTTCTACTGTAAGATAATAGAATTCTTTCAATTACCTGAGATCTATTTGGGTGTATAGAAACTTAATGTTTGACATCACAAATATCAGTTGCAATTTTATATTTTTCTACAATAAAAGCTACTGCCTCAATAAATGAGAGTTCAATGTTGCGAGTGTTTTCTTTCCGGTACCCAAGGCCACAGATTTCCCAAGTAAGACACAATAGATCTGCAGCTTGTTGAGACAGATGAAACCACACACCTGACGTTAAATCAATGAAATCATAGAGGCTGAGATAATATTTACAGAATTAGTCATGTTGACAAACAGTAAGCTCTGTTCGTTATGTATTTACTTGTCATAGACCACTAAAGGAAAAAGTTAATATTTCTTAGAACTGTCTCTATTGTAATCTGAATCTAAAACTTCAAATAAAAATTCTGGTCAATTGCAAAGCCTAACTTACACGATCTGGAAATTTAAATTGTGTTTTTTTGGACATGATTTTGAATTAATATTTATATTTAAGAGCTGAAAGATAAAGGAAGAGTAACCCAATTAAAAATTTGTGTTTTTAACAGGAGAAAACCCTTTTGCAATCTAGCCTTATTTATTTACATGGCCTCATCTCCCATAGCTTTGAACTTTATACCAGAAGTTCTGAAATTTGAAGAGATTTTTCTACCTCATATGCCTTTGAACATGACAGTCCGCTTAGGCAAGTCTTATAATGGACTTTCAATTTTTAGAGGTCTGATCAGCTTCTTATTCTTCTAGACCCAACATAAACACAAAAACTTCTCTAAAACCTTCAGGCATTAATGCCTGACTCTCTCCCTTGGTCACCTGGGGAATTATACACTTTCTCTGTTGCATGAAGCTCATTGCATGTGCCTGGGAGGAGGTATTCATTGATTTTGGAGCAAGGACTCTTAAATCAGACATGGGCTTCAGTCCTAGCTCTTCCATTTATTAGCAGTGCAACCTTGAATAAGTCAAGCAGCCTCTTTATGTCTCAGTTTTCTTACCTGTAAGACGGGGATAACGATAATATCTCATAGCATTGTGAGAAATAAATGAAATGATGCATGTTAAACATCTAGTCCAGTTTCAGACACATAATAAAGACATTGTGGATGCGGGTTACTCTTTGTTTCTATAACTATTACCCCATTAGTTAGCTATTGCTGCAGAACAGATTACCCCAAAACTTGGTGGCTTAAAACAACTAACATTTATTTTCTTAGTTTCTGTGGATCAGAAACCTGGATGCAGATTATTTGGGTGCCTGTGTGTATTAGTCTGTTCTTGCATTGCTATAAAGAAATTTCTGAGACTGGGTCATTTATAAGAAGATAGGTTTAATTGGCTCATAGTTCCATAGGCTGTACAAAAAGCCTAACACTGGCATCTACTTCTGGGGAGGCCTCTGAAAGCTTACAATCGTGGCAGAAGGCAAAGCTGGAGCTTGCACGTCACCTGGGGAAAGCAGGAGCAAGAGAGTGGGAGGGGAGGTGCCACACACTTTTAAATGACCAGATGTCATGAGAACACACTCACTATCATGAGGACAGCACCAAGGGGATGGCGTTAAATCATTCATGAGAAATCTGCCCCATGATCCAATCACATCCCACCAGGCCCCACCTCCAACACTGGGGATTACATTTCAATATGAGATTTGGGTGGGGACACACATCCAAACTCTATCACTGTGACTCAGGGTTTCTCACAAGGCTTCAACTAAGATATTCAACAGGGCTGCAGTCATCTTAGAGTTCAACTGGGGAGGATACACTTCCAAGCTCGCTCAAGTGACTGTTGGCAGGCATCAGGCCCTTGCTGCTGTTGACCGGAGACATCAGTTCCTTGCCACATGGGCCCCTCTGTAGGGCAGCTCACAACAGGGCAGCTCACAACATGGCAGCTCACTTCCCTCAGAACAAGCCAGTGGGAGAGTGAGAGGGGAGGCCAAAGCCAGAAGCCACAGATTTTTTTGCCCTCTAATGTCGGAAGTGACAGCTCATCATTTTCGACTTATTCTGTTCATTAGAAGTGAGTCACTAGGTCCAGCTCATGCTCAAAACCAGGAAATTACACAAAGGCATGAATACCAGGAGGTGGAGATCACTGTGGGGGGTAGGGGAGGTGCATTTTAGAGGCCACCTGGGAAAAATGGGGCTGTAGCTTATTTACTAATGTTTGTGTTTTTATATTTTCAATGTTTGACATAGTATCTGGCTCAACACAATCTTACCCCTATGGCTAAGATTTTCTTCGTTCTGGGAAATATGAGAGATTCCTCATTGTCAGTTGCCCACATAGCATTGATTTCATTGCTCTATTTTAAGGGAACAGCAATTACCAAGGCAAGACACCATGAAAGGTGGAAGAATGTAGCCTGCAGCCTGTCCCACCGTTTGGGACAGGTGGGATGGACTGCCGGATAGCGTGTAGGAAGAAGATTAAAACAAATGGGGGAAATTTACACACATCATTTATTTATCTAAAATGTTCTCCCTGTCATAGTCTATTCCCTCTTTAAACTGTGGAAAGAAAAGCCCTAGCATAAACTTGGTGTACCTTTTAAAAATTATTACCTGGTACTTCATTTAAAAGAAAAGGAGAAATTATAATTAACCAGTTAAGACTCACCTTTTCTGACATAGCATGTGGTTGTATACATCTGGTTGTAACCATGGTTCAAGTTGATCAACCACCTACCAGTTGGCTAAATAAATTCCTGATATGCTAGGCATCTGGGATGAACTTCCCTCAGACAAGCCTTTAGCTCATGGCTCATAAGAATGAATCTTGTTTTGTATGATGTCATTGAGTGTGGAGATATGCTGATGGAAAGATGGTGCTTAGCAACCAACTACTTATTTTCTTTAGTCTTCCTACAGGGTAACCACGAAGTCTTTCTGCAGGCCACTTAGAAAATATCTGTATGCCTCCTTCCACTCTCACAAATTCAAATTTTCCCTGTTGTTATTTTGAACATCTTCTTCCATGCTGATGCTTAGAAGTCGTTAAAGCAGCCCCTAATAGCTATTTTTAAATCTTTAACTGTTGATAAGTGAAACTGAGAATTTTTTCTTTCACAATCCTTTTTTTTTTTGTTTTGTTTTGAGACAGGGTCTTGCTCTGTTGCCCAGGCTGGAGGGCAGTGATGCAATCACAGCTCACTGCAGTCTCAATCTTCCAGGCTCAGGTGATCCTCTTGCCTCAGTCTCCTGAGTAGCTGGGACTACAGGCACACACCAACATGCCAGGTTAATTTTTGTATTTTTTGTAGAGATGGGGTTTTGCTACGTTGCCCAGGCTGGTCTTGAACTCCTGGCCTCAAACCATCCTCACGCCTCAGCCTCCCAAAGTACCAGGATTAGAGGCATGAGCCACCGTGCCTGGCCTTTTTCACAATCTTAAGCATAAGCTTGGTAGACCATAGACCCCCAGTAAGTGGAAGCTAGTGTAATAATATTATTACACTGTTTTCCTCAAAATGACCCTGCGAGGTGATTGTTTCACATCAGCTCATGCTCAGGCCCTGTTATTTCTGCATTTATGTGGACAGAGAATTCAGGAGGAATAACCAGTGGTAGACATATGAACACTCCTCACTTGGAAGGACCATCCTGTCTAGGGTGAAGACCTTTTTTGACTGTCCATGATTCTGTTTTTTTTTTCTCTTCAATACATATGCTGCCAACATTCTTCTAGACTAGCCAACTAGTTCGCAGGGCTTCTTCCCATCCGTCTTGCCCTGTAATTCGAGAGCTCATCCTATGGCCTGACTTGAGATGTAAGGCTGCCAAGACTCTTCCTTTCTCTTTGGAGTCATGGAGCACCTATTTCCACTCACCCACCCATCCATTCATTTGTTCATTCTTTTAAAGAAAATAAGATAGGGTTCCTGGGTTCAAAGAGCTTGCAGTCTAGGGGCAGGTGCGGTGGCTGACACCTGTAATTCCAGCACTTTGGGAGGCCGAGGCAGGCGGATCACTTGAGGCCAGGCATTCAAGACCAGCCTGGCCAACATGGCAAAGCCTCCTCTCTACTATTAACAAAAATACAGACATTAGCCAGGCATGGTGGTGCATGCCTGTAATCCCAGCTACTTGGGAGGCTGAGGCATGAGAATCACTTGAACCTAGGAAGCAGAGGCTGCAGTGAGCTGAGATCGCACCATTGCACTCCAGCCTGGGAGACAGAGCCAGACTCTGTCAAAAAAAAATTGTGGGTGCAATAAGATCTGAGCACACATGACCCTGACAGAGCAGCATAGCAGAGGCAGCGTGAGGGGAGCCGCTGTCCAAAGGTTTTGGAGGGAGAAGTCACTGCTGCCGCAAGTGACGAGAAAAGCCTTCTGGAATGTATGATGGGGAGGACTCTGACAGGTGGTGATGGTGAGGGGAACATTCCAGAGCATGGAGAAAGGCGCAAAGATATGCAGGAAGAAGCTGTGAATGAAGACAGCGAGGAGTCCAGTTCACCTGGAACGCAGTGTGTGGCAGAAAGAGCACTGCATGTGGGGTGTGGAGACTGGGTTTCCGTTCTGCCACCTTCCCAGTAAAAAACAAAACAGTGCCAGACTGGCACTGAACAGATGACTTAGCCTTTCTAAGTCTCAGCTTCCTCGCCTGAAAAGTGAGGTCTTCTACTCACACAGCTGTCGTGACAGTTAAATGAGACCAATGAGTGTACTGTGGCTAGATCATTTTTGAAATATTAACAGATGCCCACCTCCCTTCTCCATCTGCCCTCCACAATTTCCACTTTTCTCTTCCTACTCCTGGCCTGTTCTCCTGGCCACAGGGCAAGAATGTGGCAGAGCACAAAGGAGAGAAAAAAGGGAGTCTCTCTCTCTCTCTCTCTCTCTCTGTTTCAAAACCCCACAGCCTTAGGGAAATGGCAAGGACTCTGGAATTATTTAAATTGTTGAGAGTTTGATGAATATTAGGTTTCTCCAGATTGTCACCTGGATTGACCCCAGGAAAGATGGGGCAAGGGTGGGGGTATTGAGGCAGTGGTCCTTGACAGCAGGGCCCGCACAGCCTCCTTGACAGGTGAGCTCTAAAACTCACCTTCTCTAAAGGACATGTGCCTGGACCCCCACCCCTGGAGGTCACACAGCTTTAGAAAGGAAATGGCTCTGCAGTGAGCCTTGGCAAACAAGGCCATAGAGAGCCTCACTGAGAATCCCACACTCTACCCTAGCCAGAAAACCACAGAATGATTCCCCTCCTCCAAAGGGTGGCACCGGAAGTGGCCAAGTGAGCTGGAGGATCCATGCCTGAGGGCCCACAGATGACTCGGCAAAGACAGACGCATGGAGAACCAGGCACATCCCAGACTCCACACCAGCTTGACATTGTTGAATCCTCAAATCTTCCATTGCAACCCTTGAGAAAAAGGATTCAGACTGAACGAATAATCAAATTTCTGCGGCTTCCAAGAAATAGGAACTCTAAGTAGAAATGAAGTTGTTAATAAGAAAAAATACTCAAGGAAACATCTTTCTTGCACGTCAGACTTGTGAACCGAGATGTATATCCACTATGGTACTTTAAAAAGTTAAAACTTAACATTTAAAAACTTAACATTGACGTGCAATGTGATGAACTAAAATCAAAACAAAGCTGGAAAGCTAGGGCAGATGGGGTGTGCACTGCCCTGGAATAGCAACCTACAAGGGCTCTGAAATGGAGCCTGGCTCTTAGGATACTTCAATTCCCTATTATCAGCCTCAGAACAGTAAAACTGCGGCACAGCTGTTCTGCCTGTAAAGGGCAGCTATGTAGGGCAGTTTTCCCAGAAGCTTTCTGTGCTCCCAGATCAGCTCCATAAAAAAGTAAGTGTTCTAAATATCAGGCACGTCAATACTGACAACCACAGCAAATTTAACGCCAAACGTTTTTATCATTGCAGCAGATGGTAGCCTGTTTGTGAAATGGCACTTCACAGAGCAAGGGTGCCCTGCCACACTTGAAATAGCAGGGACCACTTATCATCCTGAAAATCAGAGGAAGCATCAAGTTCTCAGAAAACCTTCGGGGCAACTTAACTGTTTCTTAGCAGCAGCTGCCTGGGTGAAGACATCATTCCATATCTGGTGCTATCCTCCCTTCCTTAGCTGAGCGTTGTTCGTTGATTCAATTAATTAATATTTATTGAACACACTCTCTGGGCTGAACACCATGATAGGAGCTGGGGATACAGCCAGGAACTTAAATAATTATTCCAGGAACTTAAATAACTATTATAATATGTTAGTAACAATAAACCTATAAGGTAAGAAATTATTTGTCTCCTCATTTTACAGATAAAGGAATTGAGATTTAATAGAAGGTCAGACCAGCTCGGATGGGCAGACCAGAATTCAGATTATGCTGGATCTAAAGTGCATGCTCCTAACCACCACATTCCAAGGTCCAGTGAGGAGGATGAGCAGGTTGGGGTTCTGAGACAGAGTGAGGGAAACTATGATTAGGTGCCAAGTGAGAAGTTGAGAGGGCCCTTATCTGCCACAGAGGGGCAAGGCAGCTTCCTAGAGGAAGCCACATTGAACAGAAGGATCATCAAACTAAGTGTGTGAGTCAGAGGATTTGTTCTGGGTCTTGGGTCATGGAAGTTAGTCTACTCTCTTTATGAAATCTATACTCAGTGCCTATGTTTTTCTCATATTTTTCTTCTGTGGAGCAAGAATCGTTGCTTTTTATTGAGGGTGATTTTTTTTTTAATACCTGTCTTCTTACCCTGCAAATATAAAGATAGAACATTCTTGTTCACCGACTGTGGATACTGCCTCGGGGTAAGGTGGTGGGTGGGGCCAACACGGTCAGGGCCAGCGGTCATGCAGGCAGCACTGTGGCCCCTGTCCAGCCCCTAGTTAGTGCTATAACCTCTGGCCCTAGAACGAGGCTCTGAGCAGGCATCTGCAGCCTCTGAAAGTGCCATGAGATGTGTCTGTGTGAGGCCACCCTGCCTCACCCATGGCCAGCATGTGACCTCACTAAGAGTCGGTGGGGACTGGAGCCACAGCGAAGGAGGCAGCGTGCTGGAGAAGACAGTGCGAGGCAGCAAATGACCATTATTACTGATTTGCCTCCGACAAGAAAGAAAAGGACAGCCTCTGTTTAGAAGTAAAATTAGACACGGAGAACCAACGCACTCTCCTATTCTCAGCTCTTGAAAGTGCCCAGAAGCTCCTTTCAGCACTACTACTGCTACCTACCGTCTTGTCTTCTGTAATTAAATCTGGTTTTCCCACAGGCGTTAGGATTAAAGATAACTAAGAACAGTTATTTAATTATGCTTTCAACATTGTTTAGTTACAATGTCTCAATATGTTCCAGAAATTACTATATGTGTTTATTTTTAAAGTATATTTATAAAGTATAGTTTTAAATATACAGTACCTCTGCTATTTTGAAGACAATATATTGTACAATATCATTTTCTCTTTTTGATTGCAAATATGTAGTATTTCACCTAACAGGGACTGAATGCATTTGGAAAGAAGATAGTTTGGGAATCTCACCATTTGTAATGTTTCTTCGGAAAGTATTAGAGATGAAAGTATTGTATCTAGTCTTAAATCAAATTTTAGTAACACATCAATTAAGGAGAGAATGGCATGCATGTGTAAAGGCAGTTGTGATTTTCCATCAGTCTGTTTTTTGGGGTATATTCGAACTGTAATTCAGTCATATGCACCAAACTGGTAGATGTTTTCTTCTCTGTAGCTACTGATGAAAGGAGTCCCTCTTGTACTCTAGAAGCTCACAGAGTTGTTTAATACTCAGGGAGAAATGGGGCCACCCTCTGGGCCCTTGCGGCTTGCTTATGATGTTTTAAAGAGCCCTGTCTGGAACAAAACAGGCAACATTTGTGTAATTGTAAACAGATCCTTAGATCCTTTATAGCTGAGATAATCTGTACAAGGAAAGAGGCTCTCTTTATTCTTTTAATGGAATCAGGATCTTGTTCACTTACTCTCTGTCTGTCGGGGCTGTGGAGTGTGCATCCGTGTGTCCTGCTGAGCAAATGCTCATAAAGCAATACCCCACGCATTAGAAAACCTTTGCTACCCAGAGGCAGGGCACAGGGAGCGCAGAACTGAAATCTGTTATTGATGTCTGTACAGGTGGGTTAGACAGAGCACCCTGAGGGATGTCCAGGTGTGGGAGAGAGGACTTTGAAGTGGGCTTTGGGAAGGCAGGTTCCTGACCTTCTGCCATTTACAAATTTCATGGGCTTGGTCTAGTCCCATAACTTTTCAGGAGCAGGTTTCCTGGTCTATAAAACACATTGGAGCAGGGTTTTTATACCGAGGTGAGTGTAGTGTCAAGTTTAGTGACTATGAACAGAGACCTGGATCCAGCTTGTGTAAGCTCAAGTCTGGCAGTGTTATTTCACAGCTTTGTGACCTTCAGCAAATCACTTAGCCCAGCACTGCAGTTTTGATTGAATAGATTTAAAACCTATCTCATAGATTGTTGTGAGGACTAAATGAGTTAATATTTAGAGCCTGACATCCAATAAATGCTACACAAAGAAGCGTTCCTGTTGGTGGGAGTGTGAATTAGTTCAACCACTGTGGAAGACAATGTGGCAATTCCTCAAAGACCCGGAGGCAGAAATACCATTTGACCCAGCAATCCCATTACTAGGTATGTGCCCAAAGGAATATAAATTATTATTTTACGAAACTTATTCATTATGCATGTGTATGTTCATTGCAGCATTATTCACAATAGCAAAGACATGGAGTCAACCTAAATGCCCATCAATGGTAGACTGGATAAAGAAAATGTGGTACTTATACACTGTGGAATACCATGCAGGCATAAAAAGGAACGAGATCATGTCCTTTGCAGGGACATGGATGAAGCTAAGGCCACTATCCTCAGCAAACTAACGCAGGAATAGAAAACCAGATGTTGCATGTTCTCATTTATAAGTGAAAGCTGAATGATGAGAACACATGGACACATGGTGGGGAAAACACCCACTGGGGCCTGTCAGAGGGTGGACTTTGGGGAGGAGGGAGAGCATCAAAAAGAATAGCTAATGGATGCTGGGCTTAATACCTAGGTGATGGGATGATTTGTGCTGCAAACCACCATGGCACACATTTAACTATGTAACAAACTGGCACATCCTCCACATGTACCTCTGAACTTAAAATAAAAAATAATAAAAAAGAGAAGTGTTGGCCAGGCGCGGTGGCTCACTCCTGTAATCCCAGCACTTTGGGAGACCAAGGCGGGCAGATCACGAGGTCAGGAGATGGAGACCATCCTGGCTAACACAGTGAAACCCCATCTCTACTAAAAATACAAAAAATTAGCCAGGCATGGTGGCACTTGCCTGTAGTCCCAGCTACTCGGGAGGCTGAGGCAGGAGAATGGCCTGAACCCAGGAGGCGGAGCTTGCAGTGAGCTGAGATCGCGCCACTGCTCTCCAGCCCGGGCGACAGAGCGAGACTCCGTCTCAAGAAAAAAAAGAGAAGTGTTCCCTATCGTCACTACTTTTGCACTTTCTGAAACCCAGTTCTGCAAAGACATAATTGGAATATCATTTTAAAGTGTGTTGATTATTAAAAATAACAAGCAAAGATATGCTACATGTCAACATGCAACACACTGACAACTTTTCAATTTGTGCTACCTGTTTAACTTTGCTTTGTATAGACATGGGACAAAGTTTCTTCTGCCACATTTTCTTGCAAATGTATTAATATTGATTAAGAGTGCTGGTGTTTCTTACAATTCAGGCCTACACATGTATCCCCAGTGCAGAATTGTACAGGACACTACACTATTGTAGAACAGATGTGAGAGCCTTAATTAAACGGCAAGAAAGCCAGACAGGCTCAGGTGCTTTAATATCTGATGTTGGGAGAGTTGAGCAATAAAAAGTGGGCCACTAGCATGTCACATACCACATACACATATGTATGTCATATAATAGAGAGTTTTTATGCCCTTCATAAATTTTGATGCTTCTTATATGACTTTTGCATTTGTCATAAAGAATATGTTAGATATGGTTAGTGATTTGACGTGAAAACAGCCTGCTTTTTTTTTTTTTTTTTTTTTTTGAGATGGAGTCTCACTCTGTCACCAGGCTGGAGTGCAGTGGCATGATCTCGGCTCACTGCAACCTCTGCCTCCCGCTTCAAGCGATTCTCCTGCCTCAGCCTCCTGAGTAGCTGGGACTACAGGCACACGCCACCACGCCTGGCTAATTTTTGTATTTTTAGTAGAGACGGGATTTTACCATGTTGGCCAGGATGGTCTCAATCTCCTGACCTCGTGATTCGCCTGCCTTGGCCTCCCAAAGTGCTGAGATTACAGGCGTGAGCCACCGTGCCCAGCCTGCTTTTCCTCTTATAAGCCTCTTGGTTGGTCTAATTAGAAAGAATTCTGAGCTTATAAAGGGGACTGCTAAAATATCAGCAACAAGCTATCATTCATGACTACTTCATGTGAATCAATTTCCCCAGTACTATGAAACCAAAATGAGTTAAAAAACTAGCTGGATGCTGAGGCTTATATAAGAATGCTACCCTCATTCTCAATATCATTCTTTTTTGTGGTTATTAAAACGGCCTTATTTTTTCATTGATTGAGTTAATAATAAATGAGTATTATGAATTTGTATTTACAAAATATAATTACACTGACAAAACAGAGCTTTTGTGTAGTCTGTAACTGGGTGACTGACCTACCTGTTTTACCAGGGACTGTCCCAATTCTTGCCTTAAAGTCCTTAATTCTAAAACCCCTCTGTTGTTCTGGTCAAACTGGGATGTCCAGTCACCCTGTCTATATATTAGAGCGCTGTGTAGGATTTAGTTTGAAAAAAGGATTTTGCGGCTAACATTGTCTTAAAAGCACTGAGATAGATGGTCTGTGTGGTGAGCAAATAATTTGTTGTTCAAACCAGGACACCCTGGAGAGTGAAGGGGCATGAACCAGGTGAGAAGCACACATGCTATCTCTAAGTTTCCTCCCTATTCTGAAAGGCTAGTACACTCTTTGATTGCAAGGTAAGTAAAAACCTTTTAGTAGAAATCATTCTGGATATTTCACACCACTTTATGCTACAGGATCACTGATCTGAGCATAAATTCACATTTTTAACTTGATAATAAATATAGAAGATAAACAAGATGAGTCAGAAAAGAATACTTGCGAATACCTGGTTAGACCTGGGAACTGGTTGGTTAAAAAGATGAATCCCTAATGTCAAATGACTTTCTTGTGATTCACTTCATTTCTCGTGGAAGCTAAATGAAAAGCAAAAATGTTAATTGATGGTTGTGGTAAGTCAGGCTCCAGTTGACTAAGGTTTTCTTTTGTCTAAACCCATCTCCAGGGTGAATAAATAGAACTACTCCGTGAAAGAACAAAATTGATGTGGTCTGTTACCTCTGGATCATCTCAAGGAACAATACTTTCAAAGCCTAGCAACTTGCAAACTTCCTGTCTGAGAAGGATTGGTGGTAGGGGGATGCTTGGGAACATAACACCCCTGCCCCACACACCCCACACCAGCTGCTTAGAAGGCAGGAAGCAGGATCCAGGCCTCCAGGAAATGTGCTTTATGGGATCTTGTCCACACATATTTGGGTCTTCAGCAACCTGTCCTAACCTGCTTTATTTTAGTGACTGTTACTAACTTTTTAAGCTCTGAATCAGCAAACTCTCTCCCCCACTTTTTTTTTCCCCTGAGGACATTCAAAGATCATCCAGCCCACTTTAGTTAAAGTAGAAATAGTGGCATGGTGGCTGTGGGTCTGGTGGTGTCACTTCAAAGCAAATGAGATACCCTTGATGATTCTGGCAAGGTGTGGTCTCCCACTGTCGGTCTCTCCCCCATATATGATGAAGGTACTTTTTAGGTGGTAAAGGAATGTCCTTGCCCAGTGGTAGTTAGGTGTAAATACTCTACATTTTATATTTTTTCTTTTCATGTTGAATATCAAACGTGGTATAAATGATGAAACCGATCACTGCATTATTCCCAGGCCTTTTACTTAGTGTGTCTCTGCTGTTAGCATTTGCATGGATCTGTGTCATCATTCTGATTCATCCTGCTGAATAATCTATCATTTCTGCTCCCTTTTCCCCATCCTCCAACATCCTACTCAGGGCTGTTTCAGGTGATTCTGAGACCCATTGTATCTTCTACAGATGAAGCACTTTCCTGAAATTCCTGGATATAGTCTTCTGATCAGTGGATTTAAGCAATGTACATGAAGTTTATATGCGGATTTAAGTCTATGGATTTAAATGATGGAGAGCATCCTTTTTTTTTTAATGGCTAGTAATTGGGCTATTAGTAGGACCATGATGAAAACAGGGAGGGGGCTTGTTTTAAATAGTTGCATGTAAACACACACTAGAACTTTCATGTTACTTAAGGTCACATTGCTGGCTGAACAGATCACAGATACTAAAAACCACTCCTGTTTACTGAGTGACCATGTTCTACACAATTTATATTTATAACTCATTTTATCCTCAGAGCCACTCTATGAGGTAGGTATATTTATTGCTCCCACAGAATTTAGGGACCTTATACAAGTTCTCCCAACTGGCCAGTTGTAGAGCTACCACAGTGAACTCCTCTAGTTTACTTGAGGCTGGAGAGGGCTCTCAAAATATGAAACTTCCAGAGTTAAGACTGGCTAAGTCCTTGGCGAACTGGGATGAGTTGGTCTCTTTCTAGGTAGGACCAGGCTCTGAATCCAGGAAGTCAGGCTTCAGAGGGTACACTGCTAATGATCATGTTATATTGCCTGTCATGGATGACTTCAACAGTAAGTCACAGTTTGCAATGGGCATGCCTCAGCTTTTTCCCAAAGTAAATATTCAAGAGCTTGAATAAGCCATTAATATTAGGGTAGGCTTGGGAGCATCCTCATTGACAGGGCTTCCCTGCTTCCCTTTTTAGTTGTATAAGCCTGAGCATGTAAAGTGTTCTTATGTAAGTCAACTCAAAATTATTATTTCCCCCTTCAGGTTGTAATTTCTTGAATCCCTTCTCTTGTTTTTCCTACTTGCAAACCCCAATTTCTGAAGCTTAGTGTTTCCAAGCACCACTTTATCCCCATCTAAGGAGAGAGCTTTTATAAAGTTGCTCTGTGCCATAGAACTCTGCTGTATCAGGTGGAGCATTCTGGCTATCTGTGACTTTAATCTTCTGGTTTACATGATTAAGAGTACAGAAAATTTACAGGTTTTCTTTTAAATCCCTAAAAGAGAGGGCCAACAGGCTTTCTTTCTTCTCTAAGAGCAGAAAGAAATTCTGAGCTCTGAATTGGAGCTAATGATTTTCCCAAGGAGGACTCTCGTACAGTCTCCTTAAAGACCCAAACTTTACTTGAATATCTCCCATGATGGGGTTCTTGGGAGCCCACAAGGCAACCCTTTACTTGCAGAAAGGAGTAATCATGACAAAGTTCTTCCTTAGATTGTATTGTGCTAAGATTTGTCCCTCTGCACCGTCATCAATTCACTCTCCTACTTTCTGAAGCAAACTTCTCTTTCAGATATATGAAGGCCGCTTACATGTTCCCCTTTAACTTTTTCTTCTCTAGACTAAAGATCCTAGTTCCTTTACTTGTTCCTCTACATCAGTGGTTTTCACATTTTTTTTAAAAAATTAAATCTTAGGTTGAAATGATAGGATGAAACCAGTGTTTAACTAGTGTAAAATATTTCCTTACTATAAAGTCAGTTAAGGATAGTCATGGGACTATACATTAAGAACAAAAACACTGACACAAAGCTTGTAGATAATTACTGCAAATTTGCATCAACATCCGGTTATTGTTTGTATTGAGGAAATCTTGAGATGCAAATAGTGTCAGTTTTTTTAAAGCAGCTTCCCTTGCAACCTTAAGGTTGTCTTTAATTAAACTGATATAAACATTTGAAAGAGGATTACTAGGACATTTTTGTTTGAAAATTTAACTGCTAATAATACGTATCAACTGCTTACTTTTCTTATGCTACATACATAAATCACACAGGGAGCTTACATTATGTGCCAAAGCTGTCTTTAACATGATGTCACCATGACTCAGCATGTCATGGTAGTCTCTTCTTTTTATATAATTGATTATTATATGTAAGGGCATGCACTGAACACACACACCAGAGCCTTATTTGAGATTTATTTGTGTGTGGCATACATCTCCTCAACAATCTGCACAGAAAGAGCATGCCCATAACTTTATGTAATAAGCAAATATACATGCAGGACTGCATTTACATGTGGGTGTTTATAATTCTAAGTTATTTTTATTCTCTCCTTTGCTACTTTCTACATTTTCAGAATGTTTCTTAATAAGCATATTACATATTAACTTTACTCCCAGAAATTATATATTTTTAGTTTTAATTATCAGTATATGCATGTCTTAATACTCTAACGATAAAAAAAAATTGTCGCTGGGTGTCGTGGCTCATGCTTGTAATTCCAGCACTTTGGGAGGCTGAGGCAGGCAGATCACTTGAGGTCAGGAGTTCAAGATCAGCCTGGCCAACATAGTGAAACCCCATCTCTACTAAAATACAAAAATTGGCCGAGCATGGTGGCATGCACCTGTAATCCCAGCTACTAGGGAGGCTGAGGCAGGAGACTCACTTGAACCCGAGAGGCGGAGGTTGCAATGAGCCGAGGTTGTGCCACTGCACTCCAGCCTGGGCGACAGAGTGAGACTCTGTCTCAAAACAAAAACAAAATTGTCAAACAAGAAATTACAGAGAAAATCACTAATATCACTTATAGGCAAGGTTATGGGAATGTTTCTTCCTACTGCTTTTCCAGGTTTTCTTATAAAGATATGTAATTTATTTTGATAATCCATTAATCTTTATTTAATGGGATAAAGTTAAAGAATTACTACCAAACATAGACATTTTAGGCAGGATGCTATTTTTAAAAATACTATTGCAAAACTGCAGTAGTTCTGATGATATTTTCAGATAATTAAAATATACACACAGTGATATTAGGAGAAGCATTGTTCTGAGATCTACACAATGATGGTATAACAGGGCAGTGCAAGTTAGTGAAATGAAAGCCTGCAATGGACTGAATTTTGATATCCAATATATTTGAATGTTTACATATATTTTTAAAACATTTAAAATATAGCCTAGAGTAAAATTTAAATTAAGGCATTTGCAGAACTCCAAAATATCACTATGTAACCTAATTTGAAAACCTACAATCTATTAATATAGTATAAAATATCTATTGTGCAGATTTTGTTCAACATCTGCAGAACAAATAACCTTAATTGTGTTTTGTACCTCTTGGCATAATTTTAGGTTATGGAGCATGTTGATTTGCTAGGGCTGCCGTAACAAAGTACCTTAGTCTGAGGGGCTTATGCCATAGCAGTTGATTGTCTCAGAATGTTGGAGGTGAGAAGTCGGAGATCAAGGTATCGTCAGGGCTGGTTTCATCTGAGGCTGCTCTCCTTGGCTTGTAGATGGTTGTCTTCTTCCTTTGTCTTCATGTGGTCTTCCCTCTGTACATGTGGCTGTGTCAAGACTTCCTCTTCATGTAAGAGCACCAGTCATATTGAATTAGGGCCCATCTTAATGACCTCATTTTAAATTAATTACCTCTTTAAGACCCTATTTCCAAATGTGGTCTTATTATGAAGTACGCTGGGTTAGGACTTTAATATATGAATTTTGGAAGAAGACAATTCATCTCATAACATGGAATTTCATAATTTTCTATATCCTTGTTAAAGAAACATCTTTCTTTTATAGAAAGAAATATCTCAATCTTTAGTTAGTTATGTATTTATGTGTAGACACATTTATAGAAATAAATGTAAATGTATTTATGTGTCACATATTCTGCACTCATATTAAATTGTTAAATATCTTCAAAGAATCATTTGACATTTTAAGAAAAAAAACTGTTTTGGGGGGTTCTGGAATGACTTCACCTTTGGCTATTTGCAATTATCACATGGACTTGTGTAAACCATACAGTATCAAGTTAAAAGAAAATAAGATCAATGGTTAGAAAAATCAGAACAGATGCTCATTAGATTCATCGAAGTCAGAATTAACTCCACCTTTCAAATTTTGTGGGAATTGTGTTTAACATCTGCAGAACAAAGCAAATATATTTAATTCACCACAGCCTCTAGTTTATAGTTCAAATTTGGCCTCTCTGATCTATTATATTTGTGCTAAAAAGCTAAGGAAGTAAGTTATAAAAACAGAGAAACTAGAAATATTAATTTTTCTAGTCCAAGATAATCATCCTCCTTAGGTTACATTTTGTTTAACTCAGGGAAGTTTTTGGTTTTAAAGTGGAATACTGTTCATTCTCAACTTACAAACCATCTGTGTTCCAAAAATTCATTTGGAAGTCAGTTATTAGGCTCTCTCAAGAAATTTTCCCATAGAAATCATGTTATTTATAATGATCACACTCCTAGGCCAGCACATAAAACCCAGTTTAACTCCCACCACACAAAACACAGTATTGATAATATAGTGCTATGAAACCTCCTTACCGAATAAAACACTGCCTTTCTGGAAATAAGAAATAACGCATGAGAATAATATATATTTTAAAATCTATCAGTGTGCTTTTCTTGTTTGTATTTCTCTCTGTTTTGCCAGAGACGTCCATTTATATTAGGGAGGTTTGGGATTATTACCACAAGAATGCGGAGTCTATATCCAGCGTTTGACAAGTGGAACAGAATTTTTGAGACCGCAGCAAGACAATAGTCTTGAAATCTAGAATTTATCTACAGAGGAAATGTTTTCAAATTTCCTAAACATCCATGATGTAGCTACATATCTACATAGAGGTTGACTTTTAAGGTACTATAAGCCAGGACTGGATAGCGCTCAAGAGCCTCATGGAAGAGGCCACAGGAAAGTGGATGGGAGCCTCCCCATTCAGCCCTGATGGGTGTGGAGGGAAGGAGAGACAACTTGGAAAAGCAAGCCTTGAATGTTAACGATCAAGGATGCATTTAGAGAGATTCAAGGAAAGGTCAAAATAAGAGAAGCTGCTTCATTTCACTGTGCATTTTGAACTCTGGCATGGAGACATTCACATGCAGAGGGAGCTTGCTGCAAGGAGATACAGCCTTGCTGCTCATTGATCAGGCCCACTTAGCAGGGTACAGACCGCAGGCTCGGCAGCCGTCGTCCCTCAGTGGACTCCAGTGTGACTGTTTCAGGGACTTGACCAGACGTTCTGCAATGGGCAGCAGTTAAAACCAACAGGCTAAACACACATCCAAGACTCCTAAAAGGCAAAAGTTACGGTCAGTGGACAAATGTGTGCTCTTCATTTCTCTTCATTTCAGTCTACCTCCAGCAGTGTGGGAGCGAGCTCATTTAAAGTATTAGATTAGTTATATGAAATAGAAGGGCTTTATTTTCTTTGTAAATCATTGTACACTTCCTAAATCAAGAAATCTTTTTATCGTTTTGAAAGCACCAACTATGTGCACCTATTAAATGTTTAACCTCAGTTAGTCTTTAAGAGTCCTGTGAGATAAGCATTACACCTTTATCACTGAGGAAATTGAAACAATTGTGCCCAAAGTTACATCGTTTCTGAAAGAAAGAGCTGGGATTTGAATCAACATTAGCCATGCTGTGAAACTCAGGCTCTGGGCTGAGCGCAATGGCTCACGCCTGTAATCCTAGCACTTTGGGAGGCCGAGGTGGGCAGATCACTTGAGGTCAGGAGTTTGAGACCAGCCTGGCCAACATGGCAAAACCCCGTCTCTACTAAAAATTCAGAAATTAGCTGGGTGTGGTGGCACGTGCCTGTAATCCCAGCTACTTGGAGGCTGAGGCAGGAGAATCCCTTGAGCCCGAGAGGTGGAGGTTGCAGTGAGCCAAGATCAGGCCACTGCACTTCGATTATAGTTTGGAGTATCTGGAGCCTATGTCCCCTTTATCTCATTCTCTTCTGGACTGAGGAAACAGGTTGGCCCCAAGTGGTGGCTCTCAGGGTCTGGGGCTGGGAGCAGATGAAGGTCATCCCTAAGGTTGAATGAAGCCTTAGGGGCCAAGGCCTCTGGCCAGTCTAATTTACCAATGATGTTTTTCAGTTTTAGGCTGCTTCGTAGATCCAGTAATTATTTCTTCAGGAATTCACTTATCTACTTATCAGCACCTAACAAGGGCTGCTCTCTTCTGTTATTCCCTACATTCCTGAAATCTTTTTCCTTAGTTCCACTTTTTCAATGTGACAGCTTTATAAATGGTATAAAATGACACATCATAATTTGATGCATCTTCCTGGAGATTCAATTTTACTCAATGATAATTGAATCATTTTTCATATTCAAATAAGGCACATATATAATAAGAAGGCAAAAATCAAACCTGGTGTGAAATGTTAAGGTCTCATACAAGACTGCTAGTGAGAGCTGCTTTGGGCCATACCCCTAGACTTCTGGGGTGGGCGCTTAATTAACTCTGCTGTTTATGGTAGCGTATTTTGTTGGAACACTTACAGAACCAGAGTGCTAAAGTAAGTATTGAGGGGCTTTTCTGCTAAGAATAGTAGATAAGCCAGACTTTCCCCCAGAAAAGTAACTAGAGCAGGGATTTACCCCAGGAAACTAAAATATAGAGGGATGGTGGGAAAAAAATTGAACAACAATTTTAAGAGCTTAGCACTTAGTCACCAAGAATAATTAGCTAAAATAGGAAGCTACCAGATGGCTTAGCCTTGTTATTGAAACCCATCTGTGAGCCACATTGTGAATTGGGGAGCTTATTTGATGATTTGTCCTCATGTCAGCTGCCCTGTTTCAGCTCCAGAATTGCCAGTGAAGACTTTGCTCCTCGGTCCCTCTGGGTAGCAGATGCCATGCTTTCTCTCCCTCTACCATCCTCTCAACCTGGTTTGCTTTCGAAAAGGTTTGTAAACTTTGTTTAGCTTCTCTCTACAAACCTTTGTTTGACTTTGTATATACAAAGGAAGAAAGACATTCACCTACCACATACGTGATAACTTTTCTTGATTATTTCTGGATGGAAGTGGAAAATGATCTGGGGAAGGTAGAGCTGAGGGAAGGGAATAGGTAAAATGGAAGTGCTGGTGATACTACTTTAGCAAGTAGGGATGGTGGGAGGGTAACAAGAAAAAGGTGGCATTGTATGGATTTACTTGCTCTTTCCACTCCATTCCCTTTGGCTTGGTAGCCATTCTGTCACCTCAGGATGGAAATGAATGGTCAATAGATGGTCTCTCAGGTTGGCAGCAATATTGGGACCGTTGTGTGAAGTGACACATGGTAGGATTGCTTGTGACTATAAACACGACTGAGTTCTCCTTTAACTCTTATAGGGCCTTGTTTTAGTCTGTTTTCTGCTGTATAACAGAATACCACAGACTGTTGTTTATAAAGAACAGAAGTTAATTTGGCTCACAGTTCTGGAGGCTAGAAGGCCTCAGAGCACAGCACCAGCGTCTGGTGGGGGTCCTCCCATGGCTGAAGGCAGGAAACAGATGCAAGTGTGAGGGTAGAACTTACTGTTGTATCAGGAGTTCACTCCCACAGTAACTAATCCATTCCCACGATAATGATCTTAATCCATTTATAAGGGCAAAGTCCTCATGAGCAAATCACCTCTTAAAAGTCCAACTTGTGAAGACTGTTGCATTGCGGATTAAAATGTCAACACATGTACTTTTTGGGGGGTACATTCAAACAGTAGCAGGCCTGAAACTTGAATGTGAAGATTAAAATGATTTCACAGTAGCATGTCTTCCAATATGCATATAATGTCTGTTGCTGATTAACATATGAAAGTCAAAACACCCCAAACTATTCAAGAGACACTTTATTTAATAGCTCTTAATTATTCCCAGAGCTAGGTGTCACACTGGTGTTTAGTACATATATGTTTCTGTCTTAAGAGTTCTCCTTTTCTTCCCCTGACACCAAGAATGTCAGAAAATCATGAAACCTATCACTCCATGGGTTCTATAATGACTAGATAAAATGAAAACACATATAAAGTACTTTGCAGAGTCCCTGGCACATGGTGAGAGCTCAGTGAATCTTATTTGGCACTGGAGTAAATGCTCAATGAACCATAATTATTGTTTTTCTAATTATGTGGTCATTAAAATATTCCTATGTTCATCAAATACCTGGAATTCTTAGATATCACCAAGTGTTGAAATAATGACAAAATTTTTTTTCTAGTCCTTGCAAACTCTCTGCCCCTTTTTATACAACATATGCTTCTAGATGCTTTGGCTACAAATCAGTGTTATATTAAAGGTATAACTACTTAATGAACCCAACAATGTGAGAGGTGCAATGTAAAGTCATGTAGTGCCCTATAAATTAATCAAGTCAATTTCTGCAAGACTTCATCTTAAAGATTTCATAATAGAAAAGAAAGACATGAATTCCAAAGGGGAGAAAAACAAAAGCTCAAAAGTGGCTGTTAATTTATTATTGTCAGTAGAATAAAGTTGGAAGTTGTGACTGAGTTGTCAGACAAAGCCATACATAATATACAGCTGAAATCATAATTTCAGCTGTATATTATTTTACTACCCATAGGACCTATGGGTAGGACCATGCTGTTTGGTTACTGTAGCCCTGTAGTATAGTTTGCAGTCAGGTAACATGATGCCTCCATCTTTGTTCTTTTTGCTTAGCATTGCCTTGGCTATTGAAGCCCTTTTTTGTTTCCATGACATGACATGACAGGATAAAAATGAAACGGGAATACAGAACTGAGTCCGGTTCAAAGCATTTTGGAGTTGGAAGCCAATCAAGTGCCCAGGACCATGAAGTGACCAGTCTGGGTAAGATTTTCAGGCTTCTATGAGATAAACAGAGATGAAGACCATTTTGGGTATGAGACTAGGAGGGACATGAAACCAATACTTCTTTTAAGTTATGGGGTTCCTGTTATAGACTATATATTGAGTTCAATGTGTTTCCCCAGAGTAGTTAACACAAATTCAGGCAGTATCCCAGGCTGAAGCTCTGGTGGAGGAATAACTTCAGTTAGCCAAGAAAGTTTTCCGGTGGGTAGACTTAGCACTAATTACAGATGTTTAAGAAAATCAAACATATAGCATTAATACTTTTATAATAAAGAATCTGATATATCTATTATTTTATTTCATAATGTTTAAGAACACTTTTACTTATTGTCATAGATCAACCTTATCATTCCAATTTGAAATGTGTAATTGCATAAGTAATTTAGACTTGTGCTTTTAACTTAAATCTTAGCAAGCTTATTAAGTATTGGACGAGTTTAAAAAGCATAAAGTACATTGTATTTATAGGTTTAATTTACCAGAATAATAATGTCTTAAAAGTACTTAGAAAAATTGTTGTCAAAATAGTAGTACTTAAAAAATACTAGTTCTTAAAAAAATAAACAAGTACTGTATTTAAATAAGAAAGGAATACTGTATTAATGCAGTTAAAATGATTTGTGTTTAAAAAGTTTATAAATAGAACAAAATATTATTCTAAACAATTTTCAAAGAAATTATTATAAAAAATTTTGCTTGTAAATAAAATAAGATTTTAAAGGTGAACTCAAAAGCCTAAGGTTTTTAAATTTGTAACTTCAATGAATTGAAAGTTATTTCTTTTTAACTTATGTAAACTTATAAGTAAACTTTTCTGCCCAGCAAAACACTTGAGGGCTCAAAAAAAGTCACGTTAACATAATTATGTATATTGGAAAGCAGGACAATTGTTTTTGCTGGAATGGAGAAGATATTTAGGTAAAACACACACACATACACACACACACACACACACACACACACACACACACACACACACACACACAAGAACTACGACATCAGGACAGCTAAATGGTAGCTTCAGACCAAGCAGCTTCTCACACAGGTATAAGAGAACATATTGTGGCTAATCCCCTCATATACTAAACAAATTTAAACAACAAATTGTACTTTATTTATTTATTTTTAAAAATTTTACTTTAAGTTCTGGGGTACATGTGCTGAATGTGCAGGTTTGTTACATAGGTATACATGTGCCATGGTGGTTTGGTGCACCTATCAACTTGTCATCTAGGTTTTAAGCCCTGCAAGCATTAGGTATTTGTCTTAATGCTCTCCCTCCCCTTTCCCCCCACCCGTCGACAGGCCCCGGTGTGTGATGTTCCCCTCCCTGTGTCCATGTGTTCTCATTGTTCAACTCCCACTTATAAGTGAGAACATGCGGTGTTTGGTTTTCTGTTCCTATGTTAGTTTGCTGAGGATGATGGTTTCCAGCTTTATCTATGTCCCTGCAAAAGACATGATCTCATTCTTTTTTATGGCTGCATAGTATTCCATGGTGTATATGTGCCACATTCTCTTTATCCAGCCTATCATTGATGGGCATTTGGGTTGGTTCCAAGTCTTTGCTATTGTAAGTAGTGCTACAATAAACATACATGTCCATGTGTCTTTATTGTAGAATGATTTATAATATTTTGGGTATATACCCAGTAATGGGATTGCAGGGTCAAATGGTATTTCTGGTTCTAGATCCTTGAGGAATCACCACACTGTCTTCCACAATGGTAGAACTAATTTACACTCCCACCAACAGTATAAAAGCATTCCTATTTCTCCATATCCTCTCCAGCATCTGTTGTTTCCAGACAGCAAATTGTACTTTAAATCTTAATGATGAGCAAAATTATGGTAATGCCGTATACTTTGGGAGAATTAAACATTGCTGATGGCAAATTTTAACTGGTAAATCTTTTCTATAATAATATGACAAAGCATTTCAAGAACCATAAAATATTCCTACTTTATTTATCTTACCAAAATCCCACTTATTGGTATTTATCCTAAGGAAATGATACAAAGAAAAGAAAATTTGTTTTACATTTGTCTTTAATCCATCTTGAGTTGACGTTTGTCTATGGTGTAAGGGAGGAGTCCGGTTTCAGTCTTCTACATATGGTTAGCTAGTTATTCCAGCACCGTTTATTGAAGAGGGAGTCCTTTCTCCATTGCTTGTTTTTGTCAATGTTGTCAAAGATCATGTGGTTGTAAGCATGTAGCATTATATCTGAGTTCTCTATTCTGTTCCATTGGTCACTGTATCTGTTTTGGTACCACTACCATGCTGTTTGGTTACTATAGCCCTGTAGTATAGTTTGCAGTCAGGTAACATGATGCCTCCATCTTTGTTCTTTTTGCTTAGCATTGCCTTGGCTATTGAAGCCCTTTTTTGTTTCCATATGAATTTTAAAATAGTTTTTTTCTAATTCTGTGGAGAATGTAGTTTGAAAGGAATAGCATTGAATTTATAAATTGCTTTTGGCAGTATGGCCATTTTAACAATATGGGTTCTTCCTATCCATAGGCATGGAATGTTTTTCCATTTGTTGTGTCATCTCTGA
The DNA here is from genome assembly GCF_000001405.40 of Homo sapiens. Lineage (NCBI taxonomy): Eukaryota > Metazoa > Chordata > Mammalia > Primates > Hominidae > Homo > Homo sapiens. The sequence goes on from NC_000012.12 coordinate 28,045,087, forward strand.
TTTCTTTGAGCAGTGTTCTGTAATTCTTGTTGTAGAGATCTTTTACCTCACTGGTTAGCTGTATTTCTAGGTAATTTATTATTCTGTGGCTACAGTGAATGTAATTGCATTCTTGATTTGGTTCTCTGCTTGGATGTTGTTGGCATGTAGAAATGCTAGTGATTTTTGTGCATTGATTTTGTATCCTGAGACTTTGTTGAAGTTGTTTATCAGACCAAGGAAGAGCTTTCTGGGAGAGACTATGGAATCTATATCTATATCGTAGCTATAGAATCGTGTCATCTGCAAACAGGGATAGTTTGACTTCCTCTCTTCCTATTTGAATGCATTTTATTTATTTCTCTTGTCTGATTGCACCGGACAGGACTTACAGTACTATGTTGAATAAGTGTAGGGAGAGGGCATTCCTATCTTTTTCTGGTTTTCAAGGGGAATGTTTCCAGCTTTTGCCCATTCGGTATGATGTTGCTGTGGGTTTGTCATTGATGGCTCTTGTTATTTTGCAGTATGTTCCTTCAATGCCTGGTTTGTTGAAGGTTTATAACATGAAGCGATGTTGACTTTTATCAAAAGGCTTTTCTGCATCTATTGAGATGATCATGTGATTATTGTTTTTAATCCTGTTTATGTGATTAATCACATTTATTGATTTGCATATGTTGAATCAACCTTGCATCCCAGGGATGATACCTACTTGAGCATCATGGATTAGCTTTTTGATGTACTGCTGGATTCAGTTCGCTAGTATTTTGTTGAGGATTTTTGCATCTATGTTCATCAAGGGTACTGGCTTGAAGTTTTCTTTTTTTTGTTGTGTCTCTGCCATGTTTTGGTATCGGGATGATGCTGGCCTCATGGAATGAGTTAGGGAAGAGTCCCTCCTCCTCAATTTTTTGGAATGGTTTCAGTAGGAGTAGTACCAACTCTTCATTATACATCTGGTAGAATTGGCTGTGAATTTGTCTGGTCTTGGACTTTTTTGTGGTAGGCTTTTTATTACTGATTCAATTTTGGATCTCATTATTAGTCTGTTCAGGGATTCAATTTCTTCCTGGTTCAGTCTTGGAAGATTGTATGTGTCTGGGAATTTATCCATTTCTTCTAGGTTTTCTAGCTTGTGTGCATAGAGGGGAAGATATTTGCAAACCATGCATCTGACAAAGGTCTAATATCTATAATCTATAAGGAACTTAAACAAATTTACAAGAAAAAATAATCTTATTAAAAAGTGGGCAAATATGTGAACAGATACTTCTCAAAAGAAGACATACACATAGCATTTGAAAAAATGCTCAACATTATTAATCATTAGGAAAATGCAAATTAAAATCACAAAGAGATACCACCTTCCACCAGTCAGAATGACCATATTCAAAGTCAAAAAATAACAGATGCTGGTGAGGCTGAGAAGAAAAAGGAATGCTTATACATGGCTGGTGGGAGTGTAAATTAGTTCAACCACTGTGGAAATCAGTATGGTGATTTCTCAAAGAACTTAAAACAGAACTACTCTTTGATCTGACAATCCCATTAGTGGGTATATGACCAAAGGAATACAAATCATTCTACCATAAAGACACCTGCATGCATATGTTCATCGCAGCACTATTCACAATTGCAAAGACATGGAATCAACTTAAATGCCCATTAATGACAAACTGGATAAAGAAAATGTGGTACATCTACACCATGGAATACTATGCAGCCATGAAAAAGAATGAGATTATGTCCTTTGCAGGAACATGGATGGAGCTGGGAGCCATTATCCTAAGGGAACTAACGAAGAAACAGAAAACCAAATACCGTGTGTTCTCACTTATAAGTGGGTGCTAAACATCAAGTACATATGGACACAAAGAGGGGAACAATAGACACTGGGGCCTACTTGAGGGTGGAGGGTGGGAGGAGGGTGAGGAGTGAAAAACTATCCATGTTTATTACTACTATGCTTATTACCAGGGTGATGAACTAATCTGTACACCAAGCCTCCATGACATGCAATTCACCCATATAAGAAATCTGTACATGTACCCCTGAACTTACAATAAAAGTTAAAAGAAAGAAAAGAAAATTTGTATACATGAAGATATTAATGATAGAACTATGTATAGAAGCAAACATTAGAAATATCCTAAACATTCAATGAACAAATTCTGTGTTAGGAACACACAGGATATTAAAAAATAATTAATATAAAAATGTTAAAGACTGTGAAGCAGCCTGAAAAAATGTGCAAGACATAGAAAAAGGGGAAAATTTGGAAAACATAACTCGATTTATGCTGGGATTTTATATATATGATCAAGTGTTGGAAGGGAACGTAGGAAAAAACGAGTGATTTTGTCTTACAGAAATGTTTTTGTATTGTTATGCGTGCAATAAATACTCTTTTTTGGGTTAAAGTTTAACCATGCTTCATAATCTTTACTTTGTTAACATCCTATTGTGGATCTACCATATATGAATTTATCTATATTTAAATCAGGACCCTAGGAGTTTCTAAGCAAGTTCATTTGGAAAAATTTGATAACTCCTCTGGCTATCACCTTTAGTGGAGGGTGCATCTGCTGCATTCCCGCCTCGTATTATCTCTTTTTTTCTGGCAACAGCCCTCCTTCCGCTCCCCTCAATTGTATTCAGCCTTGACAGCATTGTCAATCAAAGTGTTTTGATGCTCCCTGGCCAACAACAACAACAACAACAACAACAACAACAACGAAATCACCTCTAGTGTCTGTTCCCTGGAACCCAAGAGCTACCCAGGTTCCAGTTGATTCTAAAATCTGACTTTCAACTTCTCTTTTCGTTCTTGTAGTTATGCCATATCCTTCTGATAAATTTCTATCTTTGCTTACATAAGCCAGATTTCCCCCATTGGTATTATTTAGGTATCCCCTTCTCTCAGGCTCTACTTTCTAGATGTTAAATGCTATGGCAGTAGATGGGTGGGGAGTCCTCAATTCTGACTTTGAGGTTGGAGAAGCGTTCTCATAGGAAGTAGCACTAATAATTAGAATTTCTACCAGCAGTAATGGGGAGGAAAGGGCATTTCAAGAAGAGAGAACAGTCCCACAGTGTTGGGAGGATATGCGACGTGTTGAGAAACAGTTAATAGCTTGGTGTTGCCAGTGCTCAGGGTACCTGGAATGAGCTCCTGTGAGCTTCTGAGTTCGAGAAACTTTTTTTCTTCTTTGTGGTGCCAATGTTTACCACAGTGTTCAAAATATATAGGGTTTGGCTGGGCACGGTGGCTTATGCCTGTAATCCCAGCACTTTGGGAGGCCGAGACAGGTGGATCACCTGAGGTCAGGAGTTTGAGACCAGCCTGGCCAACCCGGTGAAACCCCATCTCTACTAAAAATACAAAAATTAGCCGGGCGTGATGGCAAGCACCTATAATCCCAGCAACTTTGGAGGCTGAAGTAGGAGAATCACTTGAACCCATGAGGTGGAGGTTGAAATGAGCCGAGATTGTGCCACTGCACTCCAGCCTGGGTGACAAGAGTAAAACTCCATCTCAAGAAAAAAAAAAAAAATATATATATATATATATGGTTTGATATATATATTTGCTGAATAGATGGCTGAAGTAGGGAAATGAAAATAGATTTGGGTGGAAAAATGAGATATACATCATATATATATATGGTTTGATATATATATATTTGCTGAATAGATGGCTGAAGTAGGGAAATGAAAATAGATTTGGGTGGAAAAATGAGATGTACATCATCAAGGTCTTGAAATGCCTTGCTAAGGCGTTTAGATTTCTTCTGAAGCCACTAGAGAGTTATCTGTGTTTAGAGTAGGGGAGTGAAACCATCAGATGAATAAAAATGTAGAGAGGGAGAAAACTGTGTGATACTGACACAACCTAAACACTGGAGCTGTTGGAAAACAGAAATGGGCCATTCTGTAAATGCGTGGGTTGTATGTGTTGCACACTGAAAATGTTAAAGTGGAGACTGGCCATCTGTTGGGGACATGGTGTAGAAGATTCTCCTACCCATTCAGTGGGAGTTTGGATCAGATGGCATTCCAACACCACACACTGCAAACTTCATTCAGCTTCTGAGGAACTAACTTATTTCGTTGACCCACTGGAAATAACCTAATTGTTTTGTGATGTTACCCACTTTCTATTGCCAGGTCTAGTCAAAAGGTACTAATCTTATTTGAAAGCAGTCCTGAGAAACAACGTGACTGATACATTCTGGAAAGGGTTTGGATTGCAGGGACTTCTTCCGTACTGCTTTATGCAAATTAGTAGAACTGATATGTCTAAAACAATTGTAGGATGCATTTCAGCAGTGATATTGGCTAATTTTTCAAGTTACTGGAGAGTGGAGTGATTTTTGGCTCTGAGGATGATAATTTTGTATCAGGACCTTCAGGTGGGGGCTGCCTAGATAGAAGGATTGAGCAATGAACCTTATCCTGCCTTATTTTTAAGCCTTATTGTGCCTCACCTAAGCAGGGTCTACCCTAGAAATTCTAAGGATGAGGCATCAGCAGTGGTGATAGCTGATTCAAATTCATCTTCTTTGTCTCTCTCATCCCAGTTTCCCTTTTTTCCCAATCAACAATAAACCACTGATAAAGAAAATCCTCAAGAATTTGCCTTCTCCACATACTGTTTCTCTCCTCTAGTAAGAATAGGAATTTGTAATTAGATGTCTTTTAGATATTTGCTTTTTACTCAACATACACAAGGACAATAATCTCTCATAAGAAGGAGAGCTGATATGAACCACACGGTCTGTTCAGAACAGAAGAGGGTTGCTGCCCCATTGTAGAGCGCGCTTGCTAGGAAAGAAAGGCATCTCATCTAGTATTGATGGATTTGTTCACTGGGAAGTTTATTTTTATAATAATTCAATTCCCTGTTTCAATTCTTCTCTATTTAGAAATCATAGAAAAATAAATGTGGACATTTACAGAAATGGCAGGAAAGGCAAACAACAAATGAAAATAGATTAAATAAAAATAGAAAAATAATTGCAAAATCCTAGTAAATGTGTTTTCCTAACTTACTTTTGCTCTACCATGTTGAACAAGAAGTAGACATATGTGAAACTAGAAACATATTATGCAGTTTTTCAGTTTAAAACAAACCAAAACAAAACCCACTGTGTTTGCTTTTCCAAATTAAATTCTTCAGTTATACCAGTATGCAGTAGCAATTACTGGGTAAATTCAAAGGAGCTTTACTGTATGACCAAGAATACATTTCTCTTGGTCTGAAACAATCTATTAAAGGAAGACTTAATCTATGCTCTATTATCTTTGTGGTTAAGATTATTATTAAAGAATGAACTATTTGGGTCTGAGTTGGTGGTGTTTCCAATCAAACTGATAAATGTCCTCAGGCAAACTATGAAAGGTGGCAATTTAAGACTTGGTTCAAAATGCAACTACAGCTTCAGCTAGTGCATTCTTGTTCTGGAGTAAAAGGTAGAGTCAGTCTAGTCTAGTCTAGTCCAGAGCCGTGAGTCCTCTTTGCCTCTTTTGTGGTCTGCTGTTCCCCCACTCTCTCCCCACATCCCTAGGGTGGGAGGAGACTCATTCTGGGGCACTCCTCACAGGAATTCCCATCCCAGGTGCACCCCTTTCTACCTCAAAAAAAAAATCCTCATTCTATTAGAACTTGATTGCTTCACTCTTCGTCTTAAAGCTCAGAGGCTTGACCCATTACCAAGCAACCTGGTAAACTGATGTGATCACAGGCATTCATGTGTCACCCTCCCAAGTAACAGTGGCATTTTAACACACTCCTGCTGCAGATTTGTCTCAACTGAGGAGTGACTAATGGGGATGGGGGAGGGTGATCAATGTCAGCTGCCCTCTGAAGGGAAGGTGGAAAGACATTTTGGATCGAAGGCCTCCAAATCAAATGTTTCTTCTCCTTTTTGCCTAGTTTTAGACCAATTATTGCCCCAAATCAGTCTGTAAAGGAAACTCCTATAGTGGAAAGTATAATTTTCTCATAGATTTTTCTGTATCTTTGGTTTTTCCACTAAGAAATTTTGCTTATTGTTATTGCAAGCTCTTGTGATGATTACAAGTTGCCCTCTGTCCATCACAAAACAACTTACTGGGCAGGTGTCAACAGGTAACCACGTAGTGTAACTGCTTTTCATCAACACCCAGAGATGGATTTATATTAGGCTGTTAATGAGGTAGAACCCCACTCAGCCTCTGACTACCTATCTCCTGGTTTAACTCTTCCACCTTAAATGCGTTTTACTTTTCCTGGGATTTTATTAAAATTGTGTAGCTTGTATGACAGCTAATAATTCTAGTTTGTGGGAAGGAATTAAGTGGCTTATGTTGTACCTTGGCAGTAGTACATTTGGAAATAAAAGCAGACTCAAAGCACTCTGATTAATCTCGGAAAACGAGCTGCCTTCCCCACTGGGTATGCCTTCCGCCTTGGCAGCCTAATTCCTGATGCCAGAGCCTGATCTTAGGGATTTTTTATCTTTTTTTTTCTCTCCCTTCTGTTGTTGTTGTCTTAGAAGAATGAACTAAGCACTACAGTCATGGCAATTTTCCTGTATTGAATTAGGGTTGTGCTTTCATTCTTTCTGAACTCCCTTTGATCTAGATGTTTTGGCTGCCCTTGGGGTAAGGGCTGAGCAGCTGCAGCTCGCTGAGCAATGCCCTATGGGATGATACCTGCTCCTGTGCTGCCCCGCTCACTCTTCCTGGGTTATGAATGTATGCTTAGCATGGGACCCACACTCTTAAGTTTGCTATGAGAAAAAGACATAGTCATCGTAGAGTAGCATGCTATAAGCCATTTCCAAGCAGCATGGTAATTTGGGCTGAAGCTGCTACAGTTATGCAGTTATGGCTAAATCTTACCAGATGACATGAGAAAAAAAAAGTGAGTTAAATAGATTTGAGCCCACGGATCCCTGCAGAGAATAATGGATTACAGAAGGGGCACTATTTATGGACTCAAAATGCTAAAATTTCAGTGATACCATCTCTTCCACAAATGCAGTACTTCCTTAGTTCATCTCTGCTGTAAATTCATATTCTCTAAAAATCTTTGAATAAATTACAATAAATAGAAAGGCCAGTTCTTAAGAGAGCAACATTGCACAACATTGCATATCATATCAGGAGACGGAGGAATTGGCAGAGTTTCTGTTTGGGAAATGACTTGGTAGGCTGGAAAACAGACACCAAAGCTTTTATGAATAGGTCATCAGTTTAAATTCAGCATGGCTAGTGGTGGGTAAATGTCACTACCCATATGGCTTGGGTTCTTTGGAAATGTTGCTTACTTCTGGCTGTATGAAGCAAGTACATATAAGCTATTTGCTGTGGGACCAGATCTGAGAGTCATAGAAAGGGAAAGTGTAGCTGTGATCCTAGTAATTTAGCATCTTTATCTTTATATAATATCTATTATCTAACTTGAGAATCATATCGACATCATTAGATTGTATCATCACCACTTTACAGATGAAGAAAATGCAGCCCAAAGAGATTAAGCAACATGTCCAAGTTCACACAGCTAAATGGCACAGACACAATTAAACCTGAGGCCTCCAAAATGCCTAGCCTGGTTCTGACCCAACTCAAGTGGAATAGAGTGTTTCTTCCCCAACTCTGAACTTTTCAACTTGTGGGCTGATCCAAGTCTGTGAAAACCTCAGTGCTATTATTAGGAATGTATGAGTCCATAGGTATACCTGTGACTCTAAAATATCTTCTGTATTTAGGCACAGTTGTATTTCAAATGTATATAGATGCCCCTGTGATTAACTCTTAAAATTAATTACTTAAAATAGAAATTTATTGAAAGCTTTCTGAAAACATAGTAGCATCTGGATACTATATATTTTATTAAATAATACACACCTAAAGTACAACCACAATTATGTGTGTTTGCGTGTGTAGGGGGGTACACAGTTTGTGTTTGCATGTGGGGGGATATGAATACATGACTGTGTTTTAAGTAAAAAGTGATCTTCTTCTGCAAAAACATTAGGAAGCCCTATCTGATGTAGCAATCCTAGAATTAGAAATTAAGTTGTTTTGTTGCATCTTTTTATTTCTTTTTGTTGCTCAAATTAGTGGATTATATACTGCAAGGAGGAGGCTGTATGTCATTCATCCTTCTTTCATACAAATCTCCCCGTCTCCCCAAAAATGACGATTCAGTCATTCAAGTGTGAAAGACAAACTGGGCTATAGACAATAAAGAACAAGATTCTCCATGTCCTTTGTTAGTAACTGGAAACATTTCTAGACAAAGTAGATACAACCTAAAACTCGCAGTGCTTAACATTCTAATTACTGAATGTCCCCACACCTGAGCAGCAGGTCCTACTCTTCAGCCTCAGCTCACAAATAGGAAACAGGGTGGGCCTGAGAGAGGTGCAACAATCTTGGAAACAGATAATGGAAACTTAATGGGCTGGGAGACAAATAATTTATGAATATGCACCCATGTGACTTGATAAGGTTGGTTTTCCAAATTAACGTTTTGTACCTTGTCCATGTTGTGTAGTCATAGGGCGGGAAAGGCATTAAGAGTTTTCTTTAACTTCTAAGAATTGGAAGCCCCAAGAGAAGTTTCTTTAAAAAGGCATCGGACCTTTTGAAGCCAGGAACTCTGTGTGGTAATCTGGGTGTGTTTTATTGTCAAGGATGGGAAAAGCCTGCTACACCCAGAAATGAGCTTAAAACATGCCTAGGGACACCCACACATATAAAAGGCATCAAGAAGCCTCCATGGAAAAGAGGCCGTGTTCCCTGAGACTGTTGGGGAAAATAGTTACAGTTTCTAAGTTGCTTTTCTTTTTATTCATTCATTTTTTTTTTGAGGCGTCTCACTCTGTTGCCCAGGCTGGAGTGCAGTGGCGTGATCTCAGCTCACTGAACTAGGAGAATCGCTTGAACCTCCGCTTCCCAGGTTCAAGCAATTCTCCTGCTTCAGCCTCCCCAGTAGCTGGAATTACAGGCACCCACCACCATGCCAGGCTAATTTTTGCAGTTTAGTAGAGATGGGGTTTCACTGTCTCTACTAAATGGCCATCTACTACATGGCCAGACTGGTCTCGAACTCCTCACCTCAAGTGATGTGCCTGTCTTGGCCTCTGAAAGTGTTGAGATTACAGGCATGAGCCGCCATGCCTGGCTAAGTTGCTTTTCGGTTAGATACGGCATTGTCTCGGTCCAGGTGCATACGTGGATGAGAGGGGAAAAACCAATCCACCTATTACTTTGGCATTGTTGGGTTTAAACCACCTTCCAACCTGGAGACTCTTTTTACTTGAATATCACTCTAATTTGAACCTGCTCCCTCTGTAATATGACTTTCCTTATCTTGAGCAATATTTCACTGGGCACTGCCTTTCAGCAAATCATAAGGGGATGGTTTGTTCCTCTAGTCCTGGCATAAAACTAGAAAATACAAAAAGCTTGAAGTTTATTTGAAACATTCAGATACAAGGACTTTGGTCCTCGGAAAACATTTCTCATTTTGTTTTCCTGTAAGAGCAGGGTTTTGTCTGTCTTGCTCAATGCTAACCAGTACCTAGAAGACTTGCCAGGCCTATAGTAGGCACTCAATAAACATTTGTTGGGTGAATAAATGAATCCACTTCCCTCCCACATCTGCTCCTATAATGATGAGATGAGAAATGCAGAGGAGGCCTGGCGACAGTTGTCAGGCTGGGCTGGTTTCCACAGGCATTCTCTTCAGCTGCAGAAAGGACAACTAATTGCCACTGCTGCTTCATTTGTATCAGCCTTTCATCATGAACATTGTTATTTTGCCTCTTCTGCCAGGGATCAAATTATACAAGATTAATTAATCAAATAATTAAGTGAAAATAATTCCTTCTTTCCTTCCTCCCTTGCTCCCTTCCTTCCTTCCTTCCATTTTCTTTCTTTCTTTTTCTCTCTCTCCCTTCCTTCCTTCCCTCTTTTTCTTTCTCTCTCTCTCTCTCTCACTCATTTTTCTGGGGTCTCATTCTGTCACCCAGGCTGAGTACAGTGGCACAATCATGGCTCACTGCAGCCTTGGCCTCCCCAGGCTCAGGTGATCCTCCCACCTCAGCCTCCCAAGTAGCTGAGACTACAGGCACACATCACCATGCTCGGCTATTTTTTTTGTTTTGTATTGTAGAGACGAGGTTCTGCCATGTTGCAAGACTGTATAATATTTCTGATATCAGCCTCTCTGGAACTCTCACATTCAGTCCCTTGTCTTGAGGGGCCTGAAGAGTCAGCCTAGAATAATTTGAATTTGGTTCTATACTAAAAACATTTGTATAGCATTGAAGTCTTGTAATTGTCTTAGATTTAGATATATTAACCAAATAGAATCCATCCCATCAATTATAAATGATTTAATTTGTTCTTATACTTTGTCTTATTTTTGAGATTAATTTATATCGTGGGTGTATTTTTCTAATCACACAAAAAAGTTAAAATATTACCTAACTGCACCAAGGACTTCAAACAGGATATGGCATATAGAAGGCATCACCGAATTTCTTCTTCTGAGGGCCTAAGTAGCACATCCAGCTACATATACATATATATCTGTGCTATTTATATGTGTGTGTGTACACACACACACACACACACACATATATATAGAGAGAGAGAAAGAGAAAGAGAGAGAGAAAGGGAGTGAGAGAGAATAGGAGACAAGAGAATAATTCAAGGTATCATGGTATGAGTGAAAAGAGCAGGAGTTCTGGGGAGTATGTGTTTGAATCCTGGCTTTCTTATTTACTGCTCTGTACTTTGGGCCATTTAGTTATTTTAGTTTCCATTTAATCACCTGAAAAGAGGGCATACCATTACTTTCCATGGGTCATTGTATGGATAAAATGTGCTAAAATACATGCAGTACCTAGGACAACACTTGGAGCGCTGGAAACGCTCAATGTTAGTCTCCTGAACTCCATGAGCATTTTCAATGTCCTAGAGGAGAGACACCCTGTGTCTATGATGCCTTTCTCTTTTCTTTTTCTTTCTTTCTTTTTTTTTTTGAGACAGAGTCTCGCTCTATCACCCAGGCTGGAGTGCAGTGGCACCATCTCGGCTGACTGTAACCTCCGCCTCCCGGGTTCAAGCAATTCTCCCGCCTCAGCCTCCCGAGTAGCTGGGACTACAGGCACATGCCACCATGCCCGGCTAATTTTTGTATTTTTAGTAGAGACGGGGTTTCACCATATTGGCCAGGCTGCTCTGGAATTCCTGACCTCGTGATCCACCCGCCTCGGCCTCCCAAAGTGTTGGGATTACAGGCGTGTGAGCCACCGTGCCTGGCCTATGATGCCTTTCTAAGAAGGGAGGATAATTGGAAAACAGATATTCTAAAATCTCTGCCTTCATTTAGCAACTTGAAAACAGTACGTGAAAAGGAACTAAGAAATTTTGGGGCCTCATCTGTGTGTATGAGGAGATATCCTGCAATGGTTTAGATGGAACACATTCATTTTTTATTCGTCTTCAAGGCTTATAATGAACCTTCAGATACAGGAAAAGGACCAGCCAACTGCTGCAGCTCTTCCCTCTACTAGACAGAGCAGGAGATGCATTAGAAAATGTGATAATCTGACACCTCTGTCCAGGGAAATGCAAAGGAAGAGGTCAGTTACTGTCAATTCTAATTAGATTCATTTATTCCTGCTCTTTGGCCCATTGAAATGATGATATATGGATGAAAATTCACAAATATTTTAGTAAGCTAAGACCAAGGTGCTGAAATAATTTTCTCTCTACTTTAGAGTGAACATAGAAGGGAATAGAGGGGCTCACAGAGATGGGGGCATTGACTGAATAAATCCCGTGGGCCAAGAATGGGAGTTCAGGAAAGAGTTCAATCAAGAGGGCAACTTTTAAAATAAGAGTTTTCAATTTGCAAATGAAGTTCTCAATTTTAATTCCCTTGAAGTTTTAAAATGTGTGGGCATTTATTCTTGCTTCTCAGGATTGGAACCACTTTCTATTAGGGTGAAGATAGGTAGCACAGAAGCATATGACCTAGGCTCAGCCACCTGGATGCTCCCAACTGGGACTCTGAACTTTGAGGGAATGGTTCAAACTTACAAAGTTGGTTAAGAAATTTTTCCCAGGGGCAGTAGTAACTATTGTCTAGTGTAGCTGTGTGTTGCTGTGGCATGGGTGGGGGTGTCAGTGGCAATGTCTTCCACAGATTCTTCCTGTGGATTGGTCCTACTGACTGCTTCCTTGACTTTGGCCTTTTCCCCCTACCCCAAGTTTTTCTTCTCCAGCTCTCTTATGGATTGTGTCATCTAAATCACATATACTTCTAGTAATTTCCTCTTTTGTTAAGTCTGAGAGTATTTCTTTGGCTTGCAACTAAGACCTGACTCAAACATGTTGAGTTTTTAAAAATTACTTTTACATTCAGCTTTTCAAGAATACATGTTTTGTAAGGAAAGATACACCTATGCTTAAGTCTTGAGAGGATATAAAAGAGAGTTGTGGGCAGGATCAATGAGGCAGATTTGTGGAGACTTTCTAGAAGAATGTTTTCATAGTGTTTGGAAGGCAGCAGTAGATATGGATAAGCCCAGAGAAGGTGAGAATACAGGGTGGGCGATAAGCGTATCAATTACATACAGCCTGGTCCTGGATCCTTTAAAAGAAGCAATTCTTAAAAAAAAAAAAAAAAAATGAGAAAGAGATCTCTAGTCTGACTGGTTGGGTGCTATTTCCTATTCAGCTCTTCATGCAATACCTCACTAACTGCCACCCAATTTCAAGCCTCCCATTCCTGGGAAACACAATGGAGAGGGAGGAAGTTGGCTAACTCGAAGAAACACCTGGAGACGAACAGCAGCTTTTCTCAGTTATGCTTTTGACTTGGACAGGGAGTGGAAATTCTACTGAGGGCTCAACAGGTGATCTCCTTTGGGCTATGGACAAAGGCCACATGCTCGAGCTACTAGTTAAGCTACCTGTTTTTGTGTCCCAGCCAAACACAATACACAACCTATCTGAATAGAAGACACAGTGAGTCATGAAACCTCAGAAACTCACTTTCGTGAGAAGGCGTGCATTTGTGCATGTGTATGTAATCTGCCCATGGCCACAAAATAGCATTTCTGGCTTTCTTAAAGGTAATTAAACATCATGTCCCAAAGGGCTTATGAGAATACCCTCAAACTGCTGGGAGAAATAATAAAATATCAGGGCTTGCAGCACCATTGAGAAATGAGAATTTCTGTAGCCGGCTAAAAAAATCAGACTCTCCTGGACTCTTGAACAATTGGGGTACATAGAGCCATTTGGAGAGCACTAGGGTACTTCCTTCTTGATTTGTTTTGTGGTCCTCAGCAGCTGTCAGTTCCTTGAGTCAAGCTGGTTAGGACTGGAAACAAAAGATTTTTGTTTGAACCTTACATTTTTAAGATATAGAAATGGCACCTTGAAGCGACGACAGGGCATGCAATTGCTGTTCAAAGTCAACAGGAAACTTTAAAAGCATATGTTAGAGTCTTTGCTTTCCTGTTTCTCTCATTATGTATTCTATTAATGGGTGGATGAGGACTTTGATGTCAGGGTAGTCAGGAGTGTTTAAGAATACAGTAGGCTGTTTGTTTAAGAAACTGCTTAGTTCCTCCACTCTGTGTTAACTCTTGGTAACTTTATATGTTGTTATAGTTTAAAAATCATTTTAAAAATTGGAAGACTAGCACAAGGAACTGATATATATCCTTTATTCACTGATAAAATGAATATTTTTTCCTATGGAGAAAAATATTTACATATATAGGAAAATAAATTTATATATGGATATATATGTATACCTATTCCTATTTTTATTCTGAGTTATTTGAAAGCAAGTTGGAGCTATCTTGACCCTTTATGCCTAAATATTTCGGTATGTAAGAACATGAATATATATAACTACAGTATAGTTATCAGGTTCTGGAAAATTAACATTAATATCAAACTTGTATTTAATCAACAATCCATATTCCAAATTTAATTGTTCAAATAGTGTCTTTTGCAGTATTTTTTTCTTACCATACAGAATGCAGTCCAGAATCACATATAGCATTACTTGCCATGTCTTTTTAAGCTTCTTTAATCTATAATAGTTTTTCAACCTTTCTGTATCTTTTTGATCTTGGTATATCTGAGGAATCTATTACTCTTTAAAGAATGGTACCCATATTTTTGTCCTCCTAACTTCTCTAATTCTTCTCATTACTAAGTTCCTGCTACATGTTTTAACAATTGACTCTTTGGCTCTTATCTCTATTAATCTTTCTGATTTCCTATTTGTTCCTTTCCTCCATTCTATAATCAGATTTTCTGTACTCCTTATAGAAAGTGAAAAATTGTTCCTGTCAGTGGACTGAAATACAATAGCTGGTTGCAAAACAGTCCAAGTGCTTACGTGGACATAATTGTTTTACTTTCTTCCTATAATTGATTAAATAATTTGAAGGCACCTCTTTAAAATATAGACATTTATCCATCCAGAAAGCCTAGGACAGTTTGTATAGCAGCCTAGATTTTTCTCTAACAACTAAACGTTAGGCTCATTTGTAAATATTTCAGCAACTTGACACTTTGGAGATGTGCATTTCAGAAATTATTTAGGATCTGAATTCAATTAGGATAACTTCTTAAATCCAGTAAATGCAACCATCCAGACAGTCTCAATCTTCTTACTTCTTTACACGGAATAAGGCAAGGCTCCCAAGTTAGTTCCCATGAGTTTCCTCCTTGAGCAATTTCTCTTCTTGGAAACACTTGAGAGAAGGGGCAGTCCTATCTCACTGGGGCCCAGATGATCAGTGCTTGGCATTCCTTATCCCCTCTCCATGGTATTTTCTTGAGTCCAGTGGTAATTCTGGCAATTGGTTCTTGGCAATACATAGGATTCAACTCACCACTCCAAGGCCGGTAAATAAGAGAATGATACATGGAGATAAACTCTTAATAGTTATCCTTGTTTTTATAAAATTTGAGTAAGGTCAGGATGTTCAGAGTCACATTAAAAATTTCTCAGCATTCACTATAGTCTGTGTGAGAGCTGGGACTCAGTGTTCTGAGAAAAGAACCATGATTTCTGCCCAAGACCCAAACTTCCTGAACATCGGAGCAAGTTACTTTATTTCCTTTAATTTCTTCCTCTATAAAATGGGAATAATTATATCACAGGGATAATTTATGAAACTGCCATAAAAGTGGTAGCAAAGACTCAAGCACAGCATTCCATAAATATTAAATCAGGACAATAATAATTTGTGAGATTTTTTTGTGAACCGCTGACCCTGTTTCACACAAAAGGTGGCTTACTGATAGAATGTATTTACCTCCATTCATTTAAAGCAACCTCTACAAGAAATTATTATGAACAATGATCCTAGGTTTTTGCTGTCAAACAAGCTGGATTAAGCAGCATTATTCAGAATATAGACTGGCATTATAATGAAATTGGCATTTGTGGTGGCTGATAAAAAAATGAAGCTTATTGTATAAGCATTCTTTTTTTTTTTTTTTTGAGACGGAATCTCATTCTGTCACCAGGCTGGAGTGCAGTGGCGCAATCTTCGGCTCACTGCAACCTCCGCCTCCCAGGTTCAAGTGATTCTCCTACCTCAGCCTCCTGAGTAGCTGGGACTACAGGCACCCACCACCATGCCCGGCTAATTTTTTTGTATTTTTAGTAGAGACGGGGTTTCACCATGTTGGCCAGGCTGGTCTTGAACTCCTGACCTTGTGATTTGCCTGCCTTGGCCTCCCAAAGTGCTGGGATTACAGGTGTGAGCCACCGCACCTGGCCGTGAGCACTCTTAAAACATAGTGGAGCCTTGTCTGGGCTTGGTACATGTTGTCTCCCACTTCTCTTATCCCTGAAATGCATATAATTGCACTGCGCATGGTGGGAGGAAACATATGTTCACGCCTGTCTCACACACACATACCACATACCAAATGTTGCCTTTCCTTCAGTCCCTCATTGCCTTTCCTTCCGACTGCACTGCCGCCCACTTCTCTCTACAGTCCTCCTCCCACACAAGCCAGCCTTCTCTAGTAACAATGCTGTTCTGGACCTGCCATTGTCTCTCTCCACAACAAAACATATCCAGCTCTGGTCTTATACCCACAGAGTCTTCTTCCAGGTGACAGCCATCTGAACTGCTAAGCCAATCTGTTCTAGTGAGATCATGAACAATATTGACTTTATGTGTTGCCTCGTCTCTTGCCTTATTTCAGCAAAACTTCTTCTTGTCAGTGTTTTCAAGGATCATGGCAGAACCAGTGAGGAATACTTTTGGTGGTTGGAACTTTCTTTTGCCTTTAAATCACGCTGTTGAGGTGTGTAGTCTGCAAGGGACTAGCTGTCAGACACTGCATTTTTTGCTAATTGAGAAAACATTCTGACTAAACTCAGTCCCTGAAATAGGGCCTCGAGTCCAATCATTTTTGGTGATAGAGAAGTTGAATTCAAGGCCAAAACAATGGAGAGTGATAGTGACTCCCTTTGTTTCTAAGGTCTCTCTCTGGTCTGGACATTTCTAGAAGATGCTTTACTACTCATCTAGGATAATCTTCATGTCTTACCAGAAGAATACCACCTACCAAGCTCAACTACTACATCAGCAAGATCTTCTATTAGGTCCGAATAAATTGCTATTTTGGTACTGTAGAAAAAAATGACTAAGTGAAATCGCCAATTTGGACTGTTGAGGTTGTTGGAATTCCTATTTATGGCATCCAAGGTTAGCAAAATTCATATTTGCAGGCTTAGAAGGTATATGATTTTTTTCATTCATTAATCTGTCCTTGTATGTATCATCTTCTTTCCTTAATAATTCACTTTTTACCTTCTCATTTTTGCTTACATGTATTTTCCTTTTATCACTCCTTTACCCCTCCTTCATGCTCCCTGAACTCCTTTCTTCCCCTTCCACAGTCATCCTTTTTTCATTTCAAGAATGGTTGCTGACATTTTATTTTTGACCCATTTCTCAGTTCTTTCATCTTTCCATCCTGGCTCTTCCTATCCAATTTTTAATGCATCTTCCAAACTTTTGAGGATGAGGCACACTTTTCTCTGCCTCACTGCAACAGGCTGCCATTGAGACAGGAAATGAAACAATCGGCCCTGTGCTGGCATGAACTTCACCTTAGCATTAGCCACATTGGAGCCACCACTGAACATACTCATACTAGAATAAAGTTGTCCTGATCAGCATCATGGTCCTGGAGGGCATTACTGCTTCACACTATAGTTACCACCCTGCGTTTGTACACACATGTACAGACTCATATAGCCACACATACATATTTACTTCTTATACATGGGATTTGATATGGCCTTTAATTTGTAGTTTGCCTTTACAGAATTTGGTTGCAGTACTGTCAGATATGCTCCCTCAACTGAATCAGTTTTAATAAAGCATAAATTAGTGGATGGGGACTTAAATTTGCCAATCCAGATAAAGTGTACAGAATAATTGTAATATGAGCTTTCTAAATAAGAACTTGCTGGAATAAATATGATGCCTTGGGGAGATGTTGGCAATATCATCACCTAATTAAGGAGAAAGAAACAGTGACACCACCTTTGGAAGGAATCTAAGATGCCATATAATTCCATTTTATTCTTGGGAAACCCTGATTACTACAACATAGGTGATCCAGATAAAACATTAATTTTAAGACCTTGAGGGAGGGAGAAATTGACTTGTTTCCAGTCCCAGAGCATATCAGCGGAGGGATCAAGACTGGATCCCTGTTCTTGGCAGTTTGCAATACAGATATTTGGAAATGTTTTCCCCCCTGAGAATGTTACCTTAAAGTTACCATGAACTTTATTCTTAAAAAAAATTCTTCATACGGTCTTAGATAGAGCATCTTTATGGTAGCTCTCTGACCACTCAAACAGTATTCATTGAGATGAACTCATATGAAGGCATGTGGTAGAAAATAAAACACTTGGAACCACTTGATCTGATCTTGTTATCACCTCTACAGATGACATAGCCTTTTTTTCCTACTAACTTACTCTCATTAGGCTTGACGTATCCTAAGCTTCTATTGAAAGGAGAATAACAACTTTATTTTGAAGTGGGGCAAAAGTTCACTGGCCTGGAAATTATTAAGTGGTTTGTCTACTAACATTATGAGCAATCATTTACATAAAGGCAGTGATAATAGGAAATTTCTCACAGCAAATGTGCAGTATACTATAATTTAGATTTATTGGCTCATATTCATGTGCTTTTAAAAGTTTGGGGCAAAGTCAGGCAGATTATACGTGGCAAGATTTATGTTTACCCATTAGGCCACCCTAACAATTCCATGAGTGTTAAAAATCATAAATACAGGAGTCAAAAACTTATTAATCATGTGGTTCAACTCCTCATAAGGGCACTGAGACCTTGAGAGATTAAGTGAGGTCTTCTGACCCAGAGATTCTTGCACTCTTCTCTCCGCTGTCTAGTAAGAAGTTGTTGCAGAATAAATCAAATCAATTTTCTCTGACCCCAGGAGGACTCTTGTTTTTATTTTTCCAGAGTTGAGCAATTTTTTCCCCTGAATCTTTCTTAAAACCAAGGACTAATATTTGCTGGCAAAGGCTAGCATGAGATACACAGGATGTAGCTGTAGAACAAGGAGTATTTCCTGTGCAAAATTTACTGGCTTAATCAGAAATTGCATCCTTGATTTCATATTAAGTTGGGAGTTAAATCTTCCCACAACTTGGCATGTGGAGCCAGATATCTATGAAACACTTGATATCCATGAAAATGGGGAAGAGATGGAGATACCCTAGGAAAAGGAGAAACACAAATATTTTAGTGTTCAGCTTTTAAATGCACCAAATCTGAAAAATCCACAGAATGAGACTGATTTTCAAATCCAAAGAAAATATTTACACCATTCTATTTATAAACATAAATAGAACCATATGAAATTGCCTTTTCCGTAGGCCCAAAATATTGAAATATTGGCAATTTCTTATAGTTCAACCAAATATTATATAATAAAAATCGTGGGAAACTAGAACATGTATATACATTTCAAGTGACTATGGTTTTTGCTTTCATACTGGGTTCCTTAAAAATTAATTGGACCATTATAGGCCTTAGTTAACTGTATATAGATTCTGGAAAATAGCAGTGAGTGGATACGCCATGCTTGTCTGTTCTTCACATTGCTTGGATCTGACCTCCATAACTGCATGGTTTTACCTCCACCAAAGCATTATTTTTTTTCAGGATAATCTCCTGGTATTGCAAGGAAGCCAGCTACCTACTTCAAAGGGAATCATCCTGCCGTTGTGTCTAGGCAGTTCGACTCACCTTCTACTTTGCCTTTTAGGGCCCCTCTTTTTTTCTTTGCTCTGGCACTGATGTGCTTCTAGAAATGCTCCATTGTCTCTTTGTTCCTACATGCTCCAACATTTCTGCTCAGCTAAATGACGGCTAATAGCAGTGGGATAGGCTGCCAGCTGTTATGGGTGCTTTGTGTGGAGCCTATCTGACCTTTTTATTATATAAAAGTGTTAAGCCAGTTATTAACAGAAGAGAAACTGAAAAGAAACCATATAAAGAAAAAAGTGGCATAGCAAACCCACTTATAAATCAGCCGTCCTTTAATTATCTTGGAAGCAAGAACTTCCTCATTATGAAAGATGGAAGAAAGTAAGGTGGAAGGCTTATCACCTGATGATAACCCTGTGTCGGCATCAATTATAGGTTTTCTGGATTAATGCATTGAGATGTTGATTTCAGGAGCTCAGACCAGACTTCAGTGTTCAAGAAAGCAGGCTACTCAAGAGAGTGATACAGAAAAGCTGATTCAAATGTGGACTTTGCTGAAAAGGGCATTACTATTTGGTAACCCAGGTCTTGATCTTAATTCAAACAGGTAATGTAAGCTCAGACAGCACAAGAGCTGACGTGTATTTGAAAATGTCTAGATTCCACTTCTTAAGTGCTTTCAAGTTTCCACCCCAAAAAGTTAAATTCTAAACTGCGTGTGCTTTTATCTCTTCTCATTTCCTTTACTTGTACAATATACAGTAAAATTTTTGTTTGAAAAATACCAGGCTTGTTTTGGCCCCCCGACCCTCTGAGCCTTCACCCAAAGCACTCGCTAAGCCGAGTAAGACCTTTTTTGAGGCCTGAAAGTGTCTGGTTCACTTTCTTTTATGTTATTTTTCCTTTGGGTGGACCTCTGCATTTCAAGATGTATTATTTAAATATTATCATTTCCAGGCCAAAAACAGGCAAAAAGTTCTAAAGGAACACAATTTTGCAGACTACAGATTTTTAGAAAAAATTGGATTAGCTGTGTATAAGCATCTAGCTTTTGGGGTGCTTAAAATAGAAAGTATCAAAATGTATCACTAGCCCAAATCCTCATCTGACTCAGATCCTTGAAGGTTGCCCTCCGTTAGTCTGCCAGAGAGCCCCATATTCTATTCAGTATTGGTTTCTTGGTTTTGTAAAATACAAGGGTCAATGTCTCTAAGGAAGCTGCTGTTTATTTGGTAAGCTTTACTAATCCTTTCCCATTATAACAAAAAGACAATACAGTTTATCACAGAAGTAAAAACACACTGTTGCCGGATATTTTCACATGCTAACTGGCACTACAGTCTTGTACATTTTGTTTTCATGAGATATCCAGGTTACATGAATAATACACTGGGAGGTTTGGGAGATTTCTCAAACATTATTTTTGGTAGTTACAGAAACCAAAACCGAGAGGAATGTATATGTTTGTGAACATTTAATTACATGTTTGTGTGCACAGGAATGAAAAAATCACTTAATCAATAACTAAAAGCACCTTGATAGGATGAAGCTAACTTGTGGTCTGTGCATTTTGAACCAGATTCTAATAAGCTTTTGAACCTTTTTGACACTGTCACTCAAAGATATTTTGTATTCTTTTCTTTTACTATTTATCTGATTTGACTCCAATCCACTTTGTGGTGTTGGCTGGGTTTTTGGGTTGAGTCAAATTTTCCATACAACACAAAACTCTTCTCTCACTCTGAGAATGTTCCTTAAATCAAGAATAGAACACTGAGGAAGGGCTTGTATTAACCTGTCTGGAAAGCAAGTTTGTGTCTTCTTTTTCTTCTTCTTTCTTCTCTTTTAATAAGACTAATAACTAGAGGTCTTAGTTAAAATAATGGAGATGTTGAAAGTGGATTTGAAAATGCACGGTAGCTGCCTAATCATGCTTGAACTTTCTAGTGGCTCACTTGCCTTGTGCTTTTTAATTGATGGGGCAGACATACCAAGTGTTTGGAGATGAACTGATACATGCCTGGATTTATGAGGCCCAGAGGCTAAGTTTGAACTTGCTAGCTAGTGGGAGAGCAGAGGGGTCACATTCAGCTGTGGTTGAGGCTGAATTGCCACTATTCAGTTCATATGGGGAGAAAAGTCACTTTCCAAAGGGCATTTGGTCTGCAGCAGAACCACAACTTTTAGTCCTCTGATATGTCAAATGCAGAACCAATGTAATTATCTGGATAAATCAAACCACAGATTGTTTCATACTCTAAGGTAACTATGAAAGACATTGACAATGAGCCCATGCATTTTCTTTTCTTTCCGTAAGCTTTCTTTCCCCCCAGACCTCATCTTTGTCAATTCCCTTCTCTTTCTTAAAAAGTATACAATCTGCCTGTGGTTCCTTTCTTGTAGCCTCTTGGGGTCATGTGAATTTGGTGGACTTATTGCCCTTCTCTCCAAATAACATGTAGTCCTCCTTAAAACAGTATTAAACTGACTGATCCCTGTATTTTAATTTATTAGTGTAGGGGAGGAGTAATGAGTAGAAGAGAATGAAAAAAAGAAAGCAAATTGATATTTATTGAGAAATAGCCATGAGTCATGAATTTTGCTTGGTATTTTGTGAACATCCTCTCACAAACTTCTGTAATATAATTAAGATATTGTAAGTTAAAATCATTAGGAATAACAGGGAGTTATGTCAGCAACATGGAGTTCTCTGGCTTCATTCCTTGCCCGCAAAAGAAATCCAATTAGCAATTATGCACAGGCAAGAATTCCATCTTGAATATCCCAGAATTCAGGAGTGAGGCTGATACACTTCTTTGGACCACAGAATCTAAAAATGCCATGAGTGAATGGTAAGAGAATCAGTTTTCTTTGACTGCAGTCCCCCTTTTCCAGACTGGCATGGCACCACATGCAGAAAATTCTCCTGGGTCCACAGCTTCTGCAGTGTGAGGGATGAATTGGAGGTGAACATTCAGCATCTGTACCGTTCTGAGACCCTTTGCTGGAGACTTGCTCCTGTCTCATCATGTGAGAAATATTGGGAGTGCCAGCAGGGCTGGACCACCTGGGGTCAGTTGGAGCCACGGAAGGTGGGTAAGGCTCCATAAGAATCAGTGCATGGATCTTGGTAGCTGCTCTGCATTCCAACCAAAGAAGGCACCACAGCAGAGAAACTAGCCAACAGCATCATGCCGCAGGCAACACAGCAGAGATTCCAAAACACAGTACCACCCAGCCAGGAAAGACAACCCATAACCTGGCCCAATTACACCTGATGGTAGAGTTCAGCCAGTGGTCTCACCAGACCACAGAGCACAGCTAGCAATACCATTTATCCTCCACACAGGAAGTGACCCAGCTCAACTAGAGAATCCCACACCAAGGCCTGCCTGTTCGGGTTTGCAGTTAGCCAGCACATACAGAATCCCAGGCTAGACTAAATAGTAAAGGCCTATTACCACCAAACAGCAGCTGCAAAGGCTGGAAGAGGTGGTCACCTCTTTAAATATGCAGGCATCAATTTAAGGACACAAGAAAATTATGACAAATCAGGGAAATATAACACCATCGCCAAAAAAAAAAAAAAAAATGAAGCTCTAGTAAGGAACCCAGGAATAAAGGCTCTCTAAGAAGTGACTGATAAAGAATTGAGAATAATCCCTTTAAAGAAATTCAGGTAACTACGTGAAGATAGAGATAGAAAATTAAATACAATTTGGAAAACAATTCATGAACAAAATGCAAAGTTTGACAAAGAAATAGAAACAATTTTTAAAAACCAAATAGAAATCTTAGAGATATAAAACACAACAACTGAACTGAAAAATTCAATAGAAAAATTCAATGGAGACTTGATCAAGCAGAAGAAAGAATCGGTGAGCTCAAGACAGGACATTTGAAATTATCCAATCAAAGGCGCAAAAAGAAAAAAAGAATAAAGAAAGCTTACAGGATTTATGAGATAGCATCAAAGGAGCAAATATTTGTCTTTGGAATTTAAGAGGCAATAGAGAAAGACAAAGGAGTAGAAAGCTTATTTAAGGAAATAATAGCAGAAAACCTTCTAAACCTGAAGAAAGATATAAATATCTGGTACAGGGAGGTTAACAGGCACCAATCAAATTCAATCTAAATAAGACTACCCCAACACATATTATAATCAAACCATCAAATATCAAAGACAAAGAGAGGATTCTGAAAGCAGAAAGAGAAAGGAAGCAAATAACTTATGAGAGAATGTTAATGTATTTAGCAGTAGACACTCAACAGAAATCTTACAGGCCAAGAGGAAGTGGGATGATACATTCAAAGCACTGAAAGAAGACAACTCTGCCAACCAAAAATACTGCAGTGCTGTCCTTCAGAAATGAAGGACAGGTAAAGACTTTCTCAGACAAACAAAAGCTGGGAGATTTATCACCCCAGACCTATCTTACAAGAAATGCTAAAGGGAGTTCCTCACACTGAAAGAAAAAAATGCTATTGAGAAACACAAAAACATATGAAAGTGTAAAACTTACTGGTAAAAGTAAGTACACTGGTAATATTTGGAATAGTCTAATATTTTAATGATAGCATGTAAATCACATATTTAGTATAAAAGTTAAAGGACAGAATTATTAAAAATAATGATGACAGTAAGTTGTCAAGGGTTGTAAAATATAAAATGTTATAAACTGTGGCATAACAGAGTCAAAATGTGGGGGTAGAGTGAAGTGTAGAGTTTTGTTTTTGTTTTTGCAATCAAAGTTAACTTTTTATCAGCTTAAAGTAACCTGTTATAACTATAAGATGTTTTTTGTAAGCCTCATGGTAAGTGCAAAGTAAAACCTATAATAGATACACAAAAAATAAAAAGCAAGAAATCAAAACACACTACAGAGAAAATCACTTAACTAAAAAGAAAGATAATAAAAGAGGAAAAAAGGAATAAAGAATCTACAAAACAACCAGAAAACAGTTAACAAAATGGCAAGAGTATGTCCTTGCCTATCAATAATTACCTTGAATGTAACTTGATTAAATTCTCCAATTAAAAGAGTGGCTGAATCAATTTTTTTTTAAAAGACCTAACCATTTTTTGCCTAGAAGAGAATGAGACTCAGTTCACTTGTAAGGACACATGTAAATTGAAAGTGAAGGGATGGAAAAAGATATTCCATGAAAACACAAATCAAAAGAAGGCAAGAATAGTTATACTTAAATCAGATGAAATAGAATTTAAGTCAAAATTGTGAAAGGAGACAAAAATGATCATTATGTTTTGATAAAAGGGTAAATTTAGTTAGAGGTTATAACAATTGTAAAGATATATGCACCCAACATGAGAGCATCTAAATACATAAGGCAAATATTAATAGATCAGAAGAGAGAGACAGATCGCAAAGTAATTATAGTAGGCAACTCGAACACCTATTGTTTCAGCAATGGATAAATTATTTAGAAAATCAACAAAGAAACATCAGACTTAAACTATATTTTAGGCCTAGTGAACATCATGGTCACATACAAAACATTTCATCCAACAGCTGCAGAATACACATTGCTCTCCACTGCATGTGGAACTTCCTCCAAAATAGATTATATGTTCAGCCACAAAATAAGTTTATAAAATTTTATGAAGATTGAAATCATATCAAGTATCTTTTCTAAATATAATAGTATAAAACTAGAAATAAATAACAGGGGGATTTTGGAAAAGTCACAAATACATGGAAATTATAAAATTTATTGAGACAAATAAAAATTGAAATATACCACAACAAAGCCCATAGGATATAGCAAAAGCAATTCTCAGAGGGAAGTTTATAGTAATAAACAGCTATATCAAAAAGAAGGCTCTCAACCAATCTAACATTATATTTTAAGGAGCTAGAAAAATAAGACAAAACTAAGCCCAAATTTAGTAGAAGGAAAGCAATAATAAAGATTAGAGCAGAAATAAATGAAATAGAGACTAGGAAAATAATGGAAAATATCAAAATGAAGAGTTGGTTTTTAAATTTTTATTTATTTTTTATTTTTCTGAGACTGGGTCTCACTCCCATCACCCAGACTGGAGTGGCATGATCATGATCACAGCTCATTGCAGCCTTGACTTCAGGTGATTCTCCCATCTCAGCCTCATGAGTAGCTGGGACTACAGGCACATGCCACCACGCTTGTCTAATTTTTCTGTATTTTTAGCAGAGATGAAGTTTTGCCATGTTGGCCAGGCTGGTCTCAAACTCCTGGGCTGAAGTGATCCACCTGCCTTGGGCTCCCAGAGTGCTGGGACTACAGGTGTGAGCCACTGCACCTGGCCAAGAGTGCTTTTTAAAAGATAAAATGGAAAAATCATTAGCTAGGTTGAGAAAAAAGAAGAGAAGATTCAAATAAAATCACAGATGAATAAAGATACATTACAACTGATACCACAGAAATAAAAAGGATCATTAGAGAATATTATGAATAATAATGCCAGCAAATTAGAAAACCTAGGAGAAGTGGATAAATTTCTGTACAACCTACTAATATTGAATTACAAAGAAATAGAAAAACTAGACAGACCAATAATGAGTAAGGAGATTGAATCAGTAATAGAAAGTCTCCCATCAAACGAAAGCCCAGGACCTGATGGCCTCAATGCTGAATTCTACAAAAATTTAAAAAAGATCTAATACCAAATTCTTTTCAAACTCTTTAGAGAAATTAAAGGGACAGACTACTTCTAAACTCATATTACAAGGCCAGCATTATCCCGATACCAACACTAGACAAAGATTCAGCAACAACTACAAAACTACAGGCCAATATCCCTGATAAACAGAGATACAAAAATCCTCATCAAAATACTAGCAAACTGAATTCAACTGCACATTGAAAAGATTATTCACCATGGTTAAGTTAGAATCATCCCAGGAATGTAAGGATGGTTCAACATACACAAATCAATAAATGTGATAAGTCGCATTAACAAAATAAAGGATGAAAACCATATATATGATCACTTTGATAGATGCAGAAAAAAACATCCGACACAATTCAACATCCCTTCATAAAAATACTTAAAACAAATTAGACATAGAAGGAATGTATCACAGAATAATGCAGAACATATATGACAAACCCACTGCTAACATCATACTGAATGGGAAAAAGTTTACAGCTTTTCTGGAACAAGACAAGGATGCCCATTCTCCACTTCTATTCAACATCATACTGAAAGTCCTGACCAGCAGAGTTAGGCAAGAGAAAGAAATAAAAGAAATCCAGATTGGAAAGGAAGAAGTTAAATTGTTCCTATTTGCAGATGACATGACCTTACATATTGAAAACCCTAAAGACTCCACCAAAAAACTGTTAGAACTAATAAATTCAGTAAAGGTGCAGGATTAGCATTTCAATATACTAACAGCGATCGATCTGAAAAAGAAATAAAGAAAACAATCCATTTACAATAGCTAAAAAGAAAATATAATACTTAGAAATAAATGTATCCAAGGAAGTGAACTATCTCTCCACACTGAAAACAATAAAACACTGATGAAAGAAATTGAAGAACACACTTATACATGGAAAGATATACCGTGTTCATAAACTGGAAGAATTAATATTGTTAAAATGTCCATAGTACTCAAATCAATTTACAGATTCAATGCAGTTCCTATCAAAATGGCATTCTTTGAAAAAATAGAAAAAACAATCCTAAAATTTGTACAGATCCACACAAGACCCTGAAGGGTCAAAGTAATCTTGAGGAAAAGTAACAAATCTGGAGCCATCACACTACCCGATTTCAAAATACACTCCAAAGCTACTGTAACAAAAACAGCATAACACGCTGGCATAAAAATGGACACATGGACCAATGGAACAGCAAAGAGATCCCAGAAATGAATCCAGGCACCTATGGCCAACTGATTTATGACAAAGTTGCCAAGAAAATACAATGGGGAAAGGACAATCTCTTCAATAAATAGTGCTGGGAAAACTAGACATCTATATGCAGAGGAATGAAATTAGACCTTTATCTTTCATCATATAAAAAGTAAACTCAGAATAGACAGAAGGCCCAACACTATTAGACTATCAGAAGAAAATACAGGGGAAAAGCTCCATGAAATTGGTCTGGGAAATGAATTTCTGGATATGACCTCAAAATCACAAGCAATAAAAACAAAAATAAACAAATGGGATTATGTTGAACCAAAAGCTTCTGCAAAGGAAACAATCAACAGAGTGAAGAGGCAACCTACAGAATAAGAAAATATATTTGTACACCATATATCTGATAAGGGGTTAATATCCAAAATATATAAGCAACTCAAACAATTCAACAGCAAGAAAACAAATGACGTGATTAAAAAGTAGGAAAAAGACCTCAATAGACATTTCTCAAAAGAAGACATATAAATGGCCAACAAGTATATGAAAAAATGCTCAACGTTACTAATCATTAGGGAAATGCAAATCGAAACCACCATGAGATATCATCTCACCCCTGTTAGAATGGCTATTATCTAAAGATAACAAGCATTGGCAAATATGTGGAGAAAAGAGAACCCTTGCACACCTTTTTGGAGAATGTAAATGAGTATAGTCATTATGGAGAACAGCATGAGGTCCCTGAAAAAATTAAAAGTATGATCCAATAATACTCCTACTGGGTGAACATCCAAAGGAAATGAAATTAGTATGTTAAAGAGACATCTACACTTCCAAGTTTATTGCCGCACTATTCACAATAGCCAAGATATGGAAGCAACTCAAGTGTCCACCAGCAGATAAATGGATTTAAAAAATGTGGCGTATATACATAATATAATACTGTTTAGCCAAAAAAGGGGAAAATTCTGCCATTTGCAATGACATGGATGAGTCTGGAGGACATTGTGTTAAGTGAAATAAGCTAGGTACAGAAAGACAAATACCGCAAGATCTCACTCATGTGGAATCTAAAAAAGCTGACCTCACAGAATAGAGAATAGAATGGTGGTTTCCAGAGGCTGAAGTAATTGGGGGTTGGGGAGATGTTGGTCAAAGAATACATATTTACAGTTAGATAGCAGGAGTAAGTTCCAGTGATCTATTGTATAGCAGGATGACTGTAGTTAATGTACTGTATTCTTAAAAAAATTCTGAGAATGACTTTTAAGTGTTCTCACCACAAAAAAACTAGGTGTGCTAACACATTTGTTAGTTAGCTCGATTGAACCATTCCACAATATTTTATACTTCAGGCATCATATTGTACATGATAAAGACATACATTTTAATATGTCTATTTTTAAAAACAATTTTAAAATTAAATTATTAGGATAATTATCTTTATTTTTAATCTCAATTTAGTAAGTAAATATTTCTTTATGCTTTGACCCTCCTCTGGATGGCATTCTATGGATCAGACTTTTCTTGAGACAATAGAATGCTAAATAACAGTGATCATAAGTAAAACAAACCTTTACACTACTTTGTGTACAGAGGCTCAGTAAACTTAATAATTTACAGAGGCAGTATATCATGCTGTTTAGGAGAGAGAAGGACCTGAATCCAATTTAGAACTTTATGCTAACTAGCTGTGTGAGTTGTTCAACCTATTTTTTAGTTTTCTCATGGAGACAAAAATACCACCTATTTTATAGGGTTGTTGTGAAAATTGAATAGCCTGCAATAAGTGGTAGGCATTTTTATTATTAATTATTCACATATATGGCAATAAGCTGATACTGATTCTTAGAATATAAAGCTAAAAGTAGATGTCAGCAAAGTTATAAAATCCAAGGACAATGTGAGTTGGAAAAGATTATATATAGAAGGGACAAAACTGCCTCATATTTTCCTTAAATGGTCTCATATTTCTCCTTTTTTTCCACTCCCACAGTTAGCTAAATACCTGCCACCTTATACCTCAATCAGATGATTTATAGCTATAATAATTATTTCTAAATTTTATTCATTTGTCTTATCTTATCACCCTAAAATATATTTTTGTTGTATCATTCTCTCTACTGAAAATCCATACATCATTTCCTATCTGACTTTCTGTTGGAGAGCATATTTCTTGGGATAGTAGTAAAAGCTCTCGGGATCAGACTGCAATCTCCAATTATAGTTGTGCTTCTCATGATCTTCCATATAAACACCCTACTTCATTTGGCTTGCAGCTTTAATATGCCAACTGCATTCTTCTCTCAGCCCTACAACAAACATCTAATACCTTATATTGTTCTCTTGCTTGACATTTTTTCCCTTTCCTCTTCCTCTAACAAAATTCTATCCATCTTCTAATACTCATATCTTTTGCATTATTTCCTGATGAACTACATGCTAAAATAATAAAGTGAGTGTGAGCAGGGACTGCGAATATGATAGTCACCTCCTTAGTTAGATTCTATTGTGTGCAAATATTCCTGTGATAATATTATATTAGTTAAGACTCCTTAACAGACTGGCATGAGAGATTTGAAGCAAGAGAAGTGCTTTCCCTACTGGCCTTGAAAAAGTAAATTACCATGTTATAGAGAGGACTATGTGGCAGGAAACCGAGGGTGGCCTCTAGAATGTGAGATCGGCCTCTAGAATGTGAGATCAGCCTCTGGCTGACAGTCAGTAAGAAAGTCCTACAACCACAAGGAATAGAATTCTGCTAACAATCATTGAACTCACAAAAAGACCTTGAGCCTCAGATGATAACAGAGTCCCAGCTGACATCTTGATTTCAGGCTTATAAGACTCTGTGCAGACAACTCAGCTAAAACATACCAAATTCCTGACCCATAGAAGGTGTGAGATAGTAAACTGTGTTGGTTTAAGCCAAAAATTAGTGGTAATTTGGTACACAGCAATAGAAAGCTAATACAGTTGGTAATGAAGCCATCTGGTCTGGGCTTTTCTTTGTTGTGAAGATTTTGATTACTGACTCAATCTTATTATTTGCTATTGGTCTGGTTAAGTTTTCTGTTCCTTCATGATTCAATTTTGGTAGGTTGTATGCAACAAAGAAAACTCTAGGACCAGATGGCTTAGCTGGTGAATTCTACCAAACATTTAAAGAAGAATTAGCACAAGTGCTTCTTAAACTCTTCCCAAAACTGAAGGGAACATCTCAATACTCATTTTATGCAGCAAGCATGATGCTGATACCAAAGTGAGACCAAGACACTATAAGAAAAGAAACTACAGGCCCATATCTCTAAGGCACATGGATGCAAAAATCCTTAACAAAATGCTAGCAACCTGAATTCAACAGCACATTAAAAGGATCAGCAGGACTATGTGGGATTTATCCCTGGGATGCACGGATGGCTTAATATATGCAAATCAATTAATGTAATAAACCATACTAACAGACTGAAGAATAAAAGTCACATTCATATCTTACTAGATGCAGAAAAAACATTTGACAAAATTCAACAGCCTTTCGTGATAAAAACTCTCAACAAATTAGGTATAGAAGGGATTTGCCTCAATACAACAATGGTCATGTATGAAAATCCCCCAATACAACAAAGGCCGTATATGAAAATCCCCCAGCTAACATCACACTCAGTGATGAAAAACTGAAAGATTTCCCTCCAAGATCAGGCACAAGGCTAGGATGCTCATTCTTACTGTTTCCATTCAACATTGTACTGAACTTTAGCCAGAGCAATTAGGCAAGAAAAAGAAATTAAAGTATCCAAATAGGAAGGGAGGAATTAAAATTATGTTGCTGATGACATGATCTTATATGTTGAAAACCCTAAGAACACCACAAAAAAACTGTTAGAACTAATAAACAAATATCGTAAGATTACAAGATACACAATACACATACAAAAATCCATTGTGTTCTATACACTAACAATGAACTATCCAAAAGGGAAATTGAGAAAACAATGCTATTTTCAAGAGTATCAAAAAGAATACAATATTTGGCAATAAACTTAACCAAGGAGGGCCAGGCCCGGTGGCTCATGCCTGTAATCCCAGCACTTTGGGAGGCCGAGGTGGGCGGATCATGAGGTCAGGAGTATGAGACCATCCTGGCTAATATGGTGAAACCCTGTCTCTACTAAAAATATGAAAATGAAAAATTAGCCAGGCATGGTGGCAGGCACCTGTAGTCCCAACTACTGGGGAGGCTGAGGCAGGAGAATGGTGTGAACCTGGGAGGTGGAGTTTGCAGTGAGCCAAGATTGCAGCACGGCACTCCAGCCTGGGGGACAGAGTGAGACTCCATCTCAAAAAAAAAAAAAAAAAAAAAGAAAACTTAACCAAGAAGGTGAAATACTTGAAAACTACAAATCATTGATGAAAGAAATGTAAATAGACACAAATAAATGGAAAGATATTTCATGTTCATGAATTGGAAGACTTAATATTGTTAAAATGTTCATAAACTAAAGTGATCTACAGAATCAGTGCAATTCCTTTCAAAATTCCAATGGCATTTTTTTTTTTTTACAGAAAAAATACCTAAAATTTACATGAAACAACAAAAGACACCAAATAGCCAAAGCAATCTTGAGAAAAAAGAAGAAAGCTGAAAGCATTAGACTTCCTGATTTCAAAATATATTACAAAGCTATAGTAATTAAAATAGTATGTTACTGACACAATTTTTTAACAAGGGTGCCAAGGGTACACAATGGGGAAACAACAAGTGTCTTCAACAAGCGTTGTTGGGAAAGCTAGATATCTACATGCAAAAGAATGAAACTTGACCCTTAACACACATCAAACACAAATATCAATGGAAAAAATTACATATTTAAATGTAAGAACTGAAATAGAATAACTCCTGGGAGAAAACATAGGACAAAATCTTATGACATTGGGCTCAGCAATATTTCTTGGATATGACACCAAAAATCACAAGCAACAAAAGCAAAAAAAGGTAAGTGGCATTATACCAAACTAAAAACCTTCTGCACTGCAAAAGAATCAATGGTCAAAAGGCAACCTACAGAATGGGAGAAAAATATCTGTAAATTATATATCTGATAAGAGGTTAATATCCAAAACAAATAAGGACCTCCTACAACTCAATGTCAAAAAAGCAAATAACCCAATTTTAATAATGGACAAAGGATTTGATGAGAGGTTTCTCTACAGAAGACATACAAATGTCCAACAGATATATATCAAAACACGCAGCATCACTAATCATCAGGGAAATGCAACTCAAAACTATAATAAGATATCACGTCACACCTGTTAGGGTGGCTATTACAAAACAAAAATCAAAAGATAACAAGTATTGGAGAAGATGTTGAGAAATTGGAACTCTTGTACACTGTTGGTAGGAATGTAAAATGGGGTACAGCTGCTATGGAAAATAGGACAGAGATTCCTCAAACAATTAAATTAGAACTACTATGTAATCTAGGAATCATACTTCTGGGTATATATCTAAAAGAATTGAAATGAGAACTTTGAAGAGATATCTGTACCTTCTGATTCACTGCAACAGTATTCATAATAGCCAAGATATGGAAATAACCTAAATGTCCATCAACACACGAATGAATAAAGAAAATGTGGTATACACATACAAAGGAATATTAGTCAGCCTTTAAAAAGAAGGAATCATGTCATATGTGACAGCATGGATAAAGCTGGAGGACATAAGCTCTGTGAAATAAGCCAGTCACAGGAGGACAAGTACTGCCTGATTTCACTTATACAGGGTATCTAAAATAGTTAAACTCATGGAAACAGAGAGTAGAATGGTGTTTGCCAGGGACTGGGAGGGAAAGAAAAATAGGGAGTAGTTGTTCAGCAAGTATATAGTTTCAGTTTTTCAAAGTAAGTTTTAGAGATCTGCTGTACAGCTTGGTGCCTATAGTTTACAATACTGTAGTGTGCGTTTAAAATTTTGTCCAGAGGACAGATCTCATGTTAAATGTTCTCACCACAAACAAACAAACCGAAAACACTAACCTAGTGGGTTATGGAAGGCTCTCCAGGCCATGGTTGTAAGATCTGAAGTTTAGTTCCTGGAAGTACAAAGAGCTAGCCCTTTGACTCTTCTGTATATTTTTCTGTGTGTAACTTGGGGATGATTCCTGTTAAGGAACCATGTGGAGGAGCAGATCAACTAAGAGTATTATGAAATAAAAACTTTATTCTAGGGATCAGACTCCACACAATTGTGAGAGCAGCTAGGAAAGTTCTGGTCCAGAAGGGAGAATTGGAAAATCACTTAAGTCACTAAACATTCCTCCTAAAGCAATGGCAGCAGTGGACCTCTTTTAGTGATAACAAGGACCAGAGAGAACAACTTGTTCTTCATCTTGTATCAATAAAAATTTCCCTGAGACAATAGGTTTAGATTTATAAAAAGCAACATAATTGAAGTATGATTAAATACAATAAAATACACCCATTTTAGTCTACAGTTTGGTGACTTTTGCCAAATATATACACTTGAGTAACTACCACCACAGTCAAGATATAAAACATTTCTATCACCCTAAAAAGTTCTCTTCTTTTCCTTTGCACTTGATAATTCCCCACTCTTGGGCTGAGACAACTGTAGTCTTTCAGTCACTACAAACTATATTTCCCACATTTTAGAATTTCACATTTGTGGAATCATACACTATGCTGTTTTGTAAGTGACTTCTTACACCCATCATGTTTTCAGAATCTTCCTTGTTGCTTTTATCCGTAGTTCACCACTTTTCATTGCTTAGTATTATTATACTGTATGGACCACAAATGTAATATAATTAGTTTGTTAATTTATTAATTTAGTTTATTAATTCAGCATTTGAAATTATTCTAGCAAGGTAACTTTTAAAAATTCCTTGTGATTTCTACATATACCATCATTCAAATACTTTTTACCACTTCCTTTCTAATATTTAAGGCTTTAATTCATTTTTCTTGCCTTTTTGCACTGACTAGAACCTCCAGTACATTTCTGAATAAAAATGGTGTCCAGTTTTACAACTGCTTGTGGTAGAAGGGTAAATCTGGTGTGTATTACTTTGTCATAGGCCCTTGAATTTTTGTAGGATTTATGCCCCATCTTCTAGTATGTATATATCTTACCAAGGTTTCTTGAGTAATTACTGTATTTTACTCAACACATTCAATCAGCATGATATCCTCAGTGTATTTGCACAGCGTTTGTTCTGTGGAATGGAGATACGACCAACGTCCTTTGGATTAAGATTGGATATTGAGAGTTAATATAACCTTGAACAGTGGTAAAATAGTGAATGTCTATTGGTGCTCCTTCAAGTTGAAAGCACAAAGCTTTTGGTGGTTTTTACTAACAGGCTAAATAACAACCACAAAACATTTACTAGATTAATAACCATGCAAGGTACCAGCAGAGATGTGTTGATTTGTTCCAGTAAAAAAACCACATCTGTCATCTGTAAGAGCAACTGTGATTTGACTCACCATCTTATTGAATTTATGATCATACACTGTCACTTTCCAGAATCTGTCTGTCTTATGCTCAGAATTAAAAGGTTATTTGAACAGGGCTGTGTTAGGTATCACCACTTCTCCATCATTTAATTCCTTGATTATGTCATTAATCTCTATAGTCCTTTCAGGACTGTTGTATTACTTTGGGTTTAATATTTTGGTAGGTGGAGGAGATTTGGGGGATTTCCACTTGTTCTTTCTTATCACAATAGTTCTTATTCCATAGGTCAAAAAACCAATATAGGGAGTCTGCCAGTTGTTGAGTATGTATATTTCAATGATACCTTCTGGAATTTGAAAATAAACATGAGATAGTATTGGAGCTCCATTGGTCTATAGTGAGACAGCTCTGGTCCAAAATTACATTGATCACCCAAACTCCATTACTGCCTACTCTGACTGTTGAGCTACAGTGACTTTGAGTCTCAGGAATTAGTGTGAGTTCACAATCAGTGTCCAATAATTTCCACTAAATCTGGTTACTTTCATTTCTTCAATGCACAGTCATGATGATAAATGCCTATAGTCCTTTTGAGAAAGAATAATTACGATATAAATTATTGGCAGTATATCAGGCTGAATGCTGGCTTCTACTAGAGGCATGGAACATCTCCAGGCTATCTTTATCTCTGATGTGTTTATACCTATAGTGATATTTCTATGTACCTCATGGATATGGTTTGAATAACTGTCCCCTCCAAATCTCATGTTGAAATTTCATCCCCATTGTTGGAGGTGGGGCCTAGTAGGAGGTGTTTGGGCAATGGGGGCTGGTCCTTCATGAACAAGTTGGTGCTGCCCTCATAGTAATGAATGAATTCTCACCTTATTAGTTACCAAAATATTTGATTGTTAAAAGGAGCCTTGCACCTCCTCCTGTCTCTCTTGCTTTCTTCCACTTGCCATGTGATACTGGCTCCCCTAAGCCTTCCCCAAAGCCCCCACTGGAAGCAGATGCTGGCATCATGCTTCTTGTACAACCTGCAGAACCATGAACCAAATAAACCCCTTTTCCTTACAAATTATCCTGTCTTAGGTATTCCTTTATATCAACGCAAAACAGATGAATACACCCACCCTAACCAAGCTTCTTTTTCAAGGTGAGAGGGAGTGGTGAAATGCAATTATATGAGTTTGAACTCTTCAATTTTCATCATCATTTCTTCTCATAATCCTGCAAGCTGGATGATACTGGATTTCTACTTTGTTTTCCTCTATAAAATGGACTTTTCTTACATCATATCCATCTATAGGTGGCTTAAGGGAAGAACAACTTTTTCTCCTAGGCTCGGCAACTAGGGTCCTTCAAATTAAACCGACAAATGACAGATTAACAGAAGAGTTGATTATGTCTATACAGAGGCCTTCATGGAAAAGAGGTAAAGACTCAAAGAAGGGGTTAGACCAATGAGTTTATATGTCATTTTAACAAATCAATACATTCTGGAGAAGAAACCAGACAAAGGAAGGGAGAGGGTTTGGCTTCTAGGGCCAGTAAATTGTGGAAAGGTAAATACATGGGGAGAAAGAGTGGAAGATAAGGGTTGTTCAGTAGGGTTTGTTATGCATACTCTACGTACTCAAACTGGTGCCTTCTCCACTGATGTGAGTCCTCTTCCTCTTCCTGGTATGGGAGAGGGAGACACTTTTATAAATGAAAATTTGTCCCCTGCTTTTATACTGAAAGGGGAGGGTTGAAAGCTTTTCCTGCATCAGTTTTTCTCAACTAACTCCAGCTCAGAATAATCCTTATACCAAAGTGGCGTATTTCAAAGAAGCACCCTTTAATCCCCTTCAGTAGCATCTATCATTCTCCTCTTCCTAATACATAAAGATTGATGGGAAACTATGCTGATAAGCTTACTTAATAGGAAAGAAACAA
This sequence comes from Homo sapiens, assembly GCF_000001405.40. NCBI lineage: Eukaryota > Metazoa > Chordata > Mammalia > Primates > Hominidae > Homo > Homo sapiens. Next base: position 28,081,675 of record NC_000012.12, read on the forward strand.
AAATATTATTCTATTACAGCTTTATTAAGGCATTTATTATGCTTTATTTTGATTTTACAAGTTCACAATTCACAAGTTCTTAAGAGCAAGGACTTGTTATTTCATCCTAGTATCTACACCTATTGTAATTTTGTCACACAATAGACACGAATTAAATTTTGTTGATTGCAGACCATGAATGCATGAGTGCAATTGTAAACTAGTGTTACTGTCAGTAAAAAGCCTGAGTTCTAATTGTAAAATTATGCTGATTCTCCTGGGTTGGTAGTGACTTTGAGCCATTGAGTTTTAACGTTTTTTTCTAAGGAACTAACCATTTCAGGAATCCTTCAATATGGGCTAAGAAAAAAAGTCTTGATACACTGAAACTAATTATGTGAAGAAAGAGTTGCCAGAGTTATTAAAACAGAAGTAGCCTGACATCCCCAGCTTTTGAGAAACAGAACTTGGAGTTAACACTAATAGTTTTAATGATTCCATGTTTGAAGTCTGAAGTTCTGTGAATGATTCACCTTAAGCATATTTAAATTTATTAACCCCTTTGCTTCTGGCAATTTATTTTTGGAAACGTCTTCCTTATGATTCAGTTGAGGAGTCTGGGAAGCAAGTATACAGCCAGGGCAGAGTTGCAGAATCCCAAGGGAAATGAATGTAAGAAAGAACTGAGTTCCTCTCCTGTGCCTGTTTCCCACTCATCCTACACATCTTCTTCTGTGGGTGGATCAATTCCTACTGAAAAAAGGATCTACAAAGTTGCTCTTTTCAGGAAAAAGAAAAGGAAGTAGGAGGAGTATGGTAAGGAATATGGTAGGGCCAGGCATAGCTTGCCTTTGCACAACTGCAAAATGTCTACCAATTGGAATATAGCATGTCCTTTCTTCATTTTAACTTAATCAGAGACAGAGGGATGAGGCACTAGCAGGAACAAGCTCCAAGTTTCCCTCTTTTTATCCTACTTCAGTTTTTCCTTTGTTGTACCTTACCTCAGATTTTTTTTAACACTTCCTCTGCTTCAGAGTGTTCAGTTCTTAAGCTTCTATGATAGCAGAAAACAAGTGTGTCTTATTCACCATTTATTCCCACAGCCTTGTTAACATAAATAAAATATTAATGTACTTATTCAGTTCAAACTTTTACATGAAATATACATACGTACATTTTTTTTAAAAAAGGCAAGCAGTACAGAAGAGCATAACATGCAAGATATTTTATCCATCCTTCCTTAACCCCCTCCTGATTTCCATGTGCTCCCAAAACCACCTTAAACAATTCCTGTTTTTAAGACAGGAAACAGTGCCTCATGCTTATAATCCCAACACTTTGGGAGGTTGAGACAGAAGGATCACTTGAGGCCAGGAGTTCGAGGCTGCAGTGAACCATGATCGCACCACCGTGCTCCAGTCTGGGCAACAGAGGGAGAAAAACAAAAAAACAAAACCCCCCAGCAATTTCTGTTTTTAGTCATTCTAGTCATTGTTTTCATTTTCACTGATTTGTCAGTTTTATACAATATCGTTGACTCTGCAATATAAAAGATGAAAAATGTACTTCACTTATAGCATCTCTCAACTCTTTCTTCCAGGTCCCAATTTTTATAGTTATGTCACTGTATTAGTTTGCTCTCACACTGGTATAAGGAACTGCCTGAGACTGGGTAATTTATAAAGGAAAGAGGTTTAATTGGCTCACAGTTCTGCATGGCTGGGGAGTCCTCAGGAAACTTATAGTCATGGTGCAAGGTGAGGAGAAAGCAAGGCATATCTTACCTGGTGGCAGGAGAGAGAAAGGGGGGAACTGACAAACACTTTTAAACCATCAGATCTTGTGAGAACTCACTCACCATCAGGAGAACAGCATGGGGAAAACCACCTCATGATCCAATCACCTCCCACCAGGTGTGGGAATTACAATTCAAGATGAGATTTGGGTGGGGACACAAAGCCAAACCGTATCAGTCACTATTTTTACACAATAAATGATGGTTGAATGAGTAAGTACACATTCCAGTTTTCCCTCTCATTTCTTTACCCGAACAATGGTACCCTGGTTTATAAACTACTGGAAGCCAGCCGTCCCTCTGCCCAAAAATGAAAGAGCTTTCGATGCTGAGCCATTTAGTTTTCTGTTAGTAAATCCCTCCAACACACTCAGTGATCTCTTTATTAATTAAAACATTATCCTTCTCAGAAACATCTGAATTTTAACAGTTCTCAAAGCCATTAACTGAAGGAAGAAGTCCTGATGCTGGAACTTTGAAACATTGAGGCTTGCTCTTTAAATCCTCCAGGATGTCCTGTAGCTTCTTAGTGAGCTGCTGATTTGGGCTGGGCAAGACTAAGACAGTGGAACTTATGCTTAGTGACTAGGGATCATCAGCTGTTTTTATTATGTCTGTCTTCTGAGGCTTTCTCTTTGGCTGTTGTTGGATGTATCAAAACAAAACATCTCCAGGAAAAAATATCAAAGGACCTAAAATTAATGTGTTATTTCAGTTTTCTTCTAAGCCAGCAAAAGAAAGTCCCTCTCTGACTAACGTCTGATAATACAAACCTCCCAGGCCAGCCCCTTTAACGTGCTGATTTAGGGCTCATGCCCGTTTTCCTCTCTCCTCATTTCATCTTCGTCTCTCTGATGCAATCAGCATGCTGGCCTTAGGCTCACCTCGGTTTTGTTTTATTTTTTAAGGGTGAAAGAAAAAAACTTTGGTTTCTCAAGTGGATATAAAATTAAACTCTTCTCCCCTTTTACAGCAGATTCTCTAAATCTTAGACTTTAAAAGTTTTGATTTAAATCCTGCCTTAGAGTGAGTCACAGAAAAAGAAATTCTCATCAGTTATCTACTTCGGTAGCACTGTTTGGTACTCATCTGTGGGGTCCTAGGAAAAGCATTCAACTCAGATTGAAAAATCTTGCTTGAGTCCTTGATGTACTATCTGCTTGCTGTGTGACTACGGGTAAGTCATCACAACTCTCTGAGCCAAGTTATCTCAACTAAAAATTGAAGATAGTAACACAGTACTTAGCTCACAGGGCTGTTGTATTGGTGCATTTAAGTCAATAAACTTAACTCAGCTCAAACTTAACATGTCTAAAATCAAATTTTTGATCTTGTTTTCCAATCCTGCTTCACCTCCAGTCTTTCCTATCTCAGTTGATTGCAACTCCAATCTTTCAGTTCCTCATGTAATGCTTCACATGGTCTTCCTCTCTCACACCAGATCCATCACCTCTCACTAGATTGCTGCAGTGGCCACCTAACTGGTCTCCATATTTTCACCCTTGCCTCTCTAGAGTCTATTCTCAATACTTCAGGCAGATCAAACCCAATCACATTACTCCTCCATGCAGGCTCAGCCTTGGTTTCTTGTTAGAGCTGATATCAAACTGGCTCACACTGAAACTAGGGTGTGAGTAGTGAAATCCCTTTGTCTCCTTTGGTAAATATCTTTTCCCAGTTTCCTTCCATTGAAATTTCCCTAAAATCCATCAGGGGGTGACTCCGCTATTCACTAACTCAAGCAGTAATGCTTGGCACTTCAGGGGGCCTCTAGGATGCTGCTTCTGAGTGTCCGTCTGATTAGCTCTTTTAGCTTCTATAGCTATCTACTCAAGGGTCACCTTTTCAACAAGGCACTTTCTGACTGCCTTATTTACAATGGAAACTCTTCCCTATTCCCCACTGGGAATCATTGCCCTCCATTGCAGTATCTCCATCTGACAGACTGTAGACTTCACCTGTGTGTTCGTCTATTGTCTGTCTCCCTTCTCTGCATCAACTAGAATACAAGTGACCTGAGAAGGAAATTTGTCTGTTCTGTTTACTCTTTTACCCCTAGTGCCTAGAACAGAGGTCCATAGCAAGCCCTCAATAAATATTAGTTGGATGAGTGAACTACTCACTGCCCAGTTTTCCCATTTGAATAATAAAAAAAACTACACCCCAGATAAATTGTGGAAATTAAATCATTGATGTGAAAGCACCTTGTGAGATATAAGTCCCTTAATAAAGATCAGTTGTCATCAGCCTCCCCTCATTGATAAACATTTGTGGACCACAGGCACCATTCTCCAACACTACTGCCAAGATAGTCTCCATGTTTGAAGGGACTCTCTGAATATTCTGTCCTGGTGTCCTGGGTGCTATAGGTCTGAGTGGCCCATGATACTGCTTGTGCCCTGAATCCTGAGTGGATCACAGAGACTTCTTAAGGTAACCAGGACAAGGAGTGTGGGTCAGTAGTCATGAGGAGTGTGTGATGCATTCTTGCTATCCCTTCAGTGCTTCTTCTGTGGGCATGTACATGGGCAGAGCTGGCATCAGCATTCATTTGTGCTGCAGTACTTGCATCAATAAGCCATTTAAATGGGAAGACACCACAAAAGAGGAAGAAGTAGACACCTGCTTTATTCTCCGTGTCTGGGAAGCAAAGTCCAACAGTAATGATAGGTTCAGCATATGGTAATGTCTACATAACTTCACAAGGATGTTTTTAAAATTTAAAGATTTGCTCTAGGAGATCATCTGGAGACATGGCTAAGTAAGGGTCACAGGAAAGGCAAGAAAAAACATGCAGTGAGCTTTGGAGAAAAAAATACAAGCCTACTGAATCCCCATACAACAGTTCCCACTGAACTTGGTGATCAATTCTCACTTCTTAACAAACAAACACAGAGTGAAGTGTACTATATATTTGGAGCCTAGACTGTAGCCCTTGCCGTCAAGTTAAAGCTACTCAAGATCTTTGAACACATGTCATCCATCCCACTGAAGGCGGGCGCCTTCCTCCTCTGGTGCCTCACACCCTGTACCTCACTACCTTGTACACTTGTTTATTTGAGATGGGCATTCTTTAGCCAGTAATAAGATGAATGGTTGATGCTACAAGGATAGGAGTGTTTAGATTTGCACAGTGATACATAGCTTTAAGTTAGTGGAAAATAATTTTGGCAAGCAGATCCGTCTCCATGTCATAAAAATATTTCTCTCTAGTATTTTGTTCTGACAGCTCAAGCAAATATAATATGAGAATACTACCTGTGGCTTGTCTTTTTTTTTCTTTCGGTTTCTAATGCTGAATTTATAATCTTCTGTAACTTCGTGTGACCACACATATTCAAAATTCCTGTATCAATTTGACTCACTGCCACATTTCCTTCTGTGGGGAAGAGGAAACTACAGACCTCAAATGGCTTTTACATTGCCGGCATGACAAGTTCCCTGTACATATGGAATAGCAGATGCCTCCTTTCAAGGCTGCTCTTGACATTGTGGTTGTTAATGATTCTTCCACTTGGGAATATTTCCGTTCTGTACCAAAAACCTATCTAAGGGGCAAAGGAAAGTGGTGAAAACGGGCACAATACAGATGCCAGCAAGTTTCCCAGTTGGTCATGATCAACACATCATTCCAGAAGGAATAACTGCGGGGGGGCGGGGGGATTAGGGAGGGGAATAAAAACAAATTTTGGCAGACCCAAGCTTAGAAGAAAAACAATACTTTCACCGAATTTAGCCTCTGCTCTCTGTCATAGAAAATTATAATAAGTACACGAGAATTGCATTCAATTTTGGTCAAGTATTATTCTTGGAATATGCATTAGTCAGAATTGGCCTCATTAGAAGGGCACTTTTTGAACAGCAGTGTAGTGGTTCACAAGGCATGTAGACTCCTGAGAGGGTGTGATGCGGGTTTAAGAAGCTTATTTCATGTCCAATATCATTTACATTTCAAACTAGGACTCAAACCAGGGCTTATATTGAAACTTCAAATGACAAGAGGTAGAGCAAAATACATTCATCTATAAACATGCAATAATGTTATCAGAATTGCCGCAACCCATTAATTATAAACATAAGCCTAGCTATTGACACTATGGCTCAGGCACTGGGCTTTTTTTCCCTGCTTCTGATAAGTCAGCATTTCCATTGAACCTATGCATGCCTTAAAATTCTCATACCAGTCTACACTGAGGCATGTGTTTTTATTTTGCTTTCTATTTATAATCTTTATTTTGAAAACAACAATTGTGGTTTGGATTTACCATGAGGAGGCTGAATTTTACACATGCAAAGACTCATTTTTTTTGTAGACTTCATTTTTAGCTATATTATCTGATTTGCTATCATCCCAGGAGTATAAAGTATATACAGTATACATTACCAAACACATTTAACGGATGAGGAAAATGAAGGTAGAAGAAAAGTAGCTTGACCAAACGAACAGTAAAGCTTTAGGGGTATTTCACTGAGTTAGAACTGGTCAAAGGACTAGATTGGGAGAGACGTAGAAGAAAATCTTACCTACATTTTACCCAGGGCAGAAAGACTAAGCAATTAAACCTTGATGGGTTCTGTATCTTCATTCTTAATAGCAATTCCAAAATTTGGTAATCCAGAGTAAAGAAGCCAAAAACTCAGAAGATATTAAATCTATTTACCTGTGTTCTAGGGGAGGATTCAAGCCCTCACATCAGAGCAAAGGTATTTCCAGCTGATTTGGGCTTTCCCCTTAAAATGTATCTGTTGTCCTTCTATGATACAGACAAGCACATGTTTATTCTAGGTGCTGTCAAGACTGTTTATGTCTTCAAGACTGGTGCTGACTCCAACTCTAGCACCGAGGTACTTTTTTTTGATGACTACTTACAGGAAAAGATTGACCTAGTGGGACCCACCGAAGCTTTTATCCAGATTTGAGGAGTGTATATTTGAAGGAGCTGCACTCTCTGAGGTAGCAGAGAGAGTATCAGTGAAGCTTGGGCACTTAACTTGTCCTGTCTTCCAAATGAGTGTTTCTCACAGGATTCTAGTTTTCTGCTTCTGACTTAAGCCAGAAAGTACACAGGTGTGTTTAACTCAGTACTAAAGTTAAAATCTATGAACTTTTTCAGACCTCACATGTTCAGGTTTGATTTTATTGTGGCAACTAGGTTTTAGGCAGGTTCTTATTTCTTTTGAACCAGGTTATCTAGCCCCTATTTTTCCATCAAAGAATCTCAGTTAACTTTGATTTTTAATTCTCAGACACCCTACTCACTGAATCACCCACCCCGCCTTCATACCCTGCTATTTTATTCCATATAAGGCCTTGAAATGTACTCACCTTACTCAGTGAAAATCCCTCTGGGGTGAGGAGCTGCCAGAGCATTAGAAATGTGATCTAAAGTAGCTAAGCTTGAGACTGGTCACGTCCAGGTTGGAAGGTATCAGGTATAAAATGAGAAAAAAAATTTTATCTCACAGCACTTATCAGACCATCTTCTTATAAGACTTTTCTTTAGTTTTTAGTTCATTTCTTGGTTTTTCTGGAAAAATGCTGCAGTTATGTTGCTCATGCAGCCAAAAATCTGCACTTAATTGGGCACATAAAAAAATAGCAGACAGGAAGTCTATTTCCTCACAGAGAGATATTGTGGTTTATGGACGCTGCTTTCATACTGCAAAGCCAGTGCATTATTTTATTTTTTAGTACACTCCTGGTAAGATGTCCCTGGCAACCAGAGAGCTATAAGTGCCCACCAGAATCAGTATCAGCACAGGTAGAGTTACTCAATTACAAAATATTAGTTTAATATTGGTTTGATTTTTGAATCAACCTTAAGTTTCTGAATTTTTCTAGGTGCTAGAGAAATAGAGAATTTAATATTTATGTACGCACTGAAAAGGAATATATATATATATACATAGGCATCTGCTATTCCATATGTACAGGGAACTTGTCATGCCGGCAATGTAAAAGCCATTTGAGGTCTGTAGCTTCCTCTTCCCCACAGAAGGAAATGTGGCAGTGAGTCAAATTGATACAGGAATTTTAAATATGTGAGGTCACACAAAGTTAGAGAACATTATAAATATATATATATATTCTCTAGAGAGACTGCATCGCACAAATCGAAGTGCATGGACTATCCATGGGTTCTGGGAAAACATTTAAGTTGCCTGTGTGACTTCCCCTGCACACACCCTCATTCCTCTCCCCTTGGGAACCAGACAGTTTCCTGAAGACTATCAAATTACAAAGAGGAAGGAAGCGCTCATCTGCAGATTGGCGATGCTTACTTTTCCAGTTGTCTTTCAATCTCTATTCTTCACATTCTTTGTTTTCATGTTCAAATCTCCCATATTTGAGTGATAATAATTAAATTCCCAAGAATTCAAACAGATTTTTAGAGTCCAGCTTACTATTTATAAATGAGGAAAGTAAGACAAAAAGTAATTCAGTTGTTTTTTTTTTTTTTCCTAATGACATGGAACTTGAGCAGCAGAAACAGGACCGAAACCTGGCTCTTCCCTTATGCCACACTGCCTTTCTATGTGAGTGGAAAAATAAAAATGAAATTGCTCTTCTCTTGTCACTTGCTTTGAGTGACTGGTACATTTGGTTTTGTCTAATGTACCCTTTCTATCTGCCTGTCTTGGGCACAGTGCCTCATAATTTGGAAAAACATATAAGCCCCACATTTTTTTCTAAGGCATGTGAGAAACTGCCATTCGTTTTAAGCAACCTAGTGTCATAAAGTTAGTGTGGGCCTAATACCACTTAAAAGTTAAATGAGGGCTTTTGTGTAATTGTTTTGCCTTCTAATTCAAACTAAGCCACAGGTAATCAAGTCTTTTCCTAATACCCCAGGCTTTGTAGAAACTAAAACCTATCCGGTTTGTACAGGTATCACCAGCCTCAAACTGGAATTGTCTAATGCTCTGGTCAACTCAACCCATGGAGGGGGTTTACATCATCTAGTGTTTTTGCATAGTCCTTTGTCTGGGACTAATTCTGACACTTTGCCTGCCAGGGAAGATAAAAGTTAACAGCCTTTCTCCAGACTCTGTGATGGGAACTTGATCAAGGAGAATCAGAGGGTTTAGACTCAGTCTCAGTTTCTCCAACTTGTCTCTGGTTCTTTGGCGCAGTCTTCAAAGTAATAAACCTAACGGGAAACGAACTATTGCATATGGTCACGGCTGGCTGTATGTTGATTTGAAACACAATTCCTATCCTTTCATTATTATCTAGGGGAATCATATGTGGGGCTGAATATCTCTGCCAGCTGATTTGGGAATTTGGGAGTGGGGAGTGGAATGGGCACTTTCTTATTCTACAAGAATGACTGTTCTAGATTTTCTTGGTGCTGGCTTGGCATCAACTACCTCACACAGAAAGGGAAAAAATAATAATTATTATCATTTATTATCAAGTTACTACTCAATATCAGGGCTGGTTCCAGAATCTTCATCTATATTATCTAATCCTTCAAATCACTGTACAAGGTATGTTTTATTATCCTTTTTTTATAGATAAAGGGAGAGTCAAGTTCTTTCTATCACTCTCAGTCTAAAGTCCAAATCTCTTAACAGGAAGAGGCAGGAAAGTGTCATAGTTAAGAGTACAAACCCTACAGCTAGGCTGCCTGGCGTTAAATATCCGAACTGCCATTAGTAGTTATGCTAACTTAGGCGAGTTACTTAGGTTTTCTATGCTTCAGTTTCTGCATCTGTAAAATGGGGACCCAACTTTATATGATTGTTAGATGGTTAACCATTTAATAAATTTAAAGTGTGTAGAGCACTGCCCAGCACACTGTTTTAAAGTTAGCTAATATTCTTATTATTACAATTATTATTATTACTATTATTAGCAACAGAATGTTGAATGAGACTTATCTCAGATTTCAGCTAAAGCCTCAAAGTTGGGACCACTAGATGCTAAGATACCCCCACATTTTAAAGAAATTCTGCAGGACTTCCTGAAATGTAGCTCAGTGGTCCTGATTCCATCCCCCACATTACCACTTATATAGGGAAAAGATTAGACATTCAAGAATCTTTTGAAACAGAGAATGCATAGGACTAGTACATTTTCAGTAAGCAGTGCTGTGGTAAGTAGTGCTGTAGCATTTCTCCAAGACAAGTAAGAGGTCCTAAACACCACGAGTCCCCTGGAAGAAGAGACTGGGGCCTCATCCTGGAGGCTTGCTATGCTAGAACATCTGCAAGCTGCTCCACTGTTGCCCCTTAGGCAGAGTGTGGGAAGAGAATTCTGGGAAGTCTGGAGCCTGACAAACAGAAAGATTCATGCTTGCCTCTTACCAGGTAGATTCTTACAGAGCAGCCCTTTATAGTGCAGTGAGGAAAGAGAACTAGAATGGCCCAGCTTGCATATATACATATATAAAATACGTTTATATGTCTATGTATATATGTGTGTGTATATATTCATATACATTCATAAAAGTTATAAAGTAAAATAAGTCTTTTCGTTACTGAATGTATCTTAGTTCCCTGCCCAGCACGATTACTTCCCTGGGCCTTGTAGCTTAAGGTGCTGGGCAGGGCCAAAGGAGACATGTTTCTGGGCAAGAAAGCACAGAAGAACTCCATTCTAAAGTTGTGAGTGTGACCTCTGCAGCACAGGTGGCTATGTGGACAGCCTATATGGACAGCCTCAAGAGAGGACATCTTTTATGTGGAGGCTTAGTGAAAGGAAACAGACATTGTTGAAGAGTGGGGCTAAAAGAGCGATAATTATTGGCAAGCTCAGGCTGAGAGCTGACACATGCTTGTGGGCCTAAGGACGGCTTGGAAGACTGGCTCTACGACCAGGAGCTGAGTGGCTGTGGCTAGGAGTGAGCATATCACCCACAGGCACTATTTTGACAGAAGAGTGGACTGTAATTTAATACCCTTCCCAGTGTGGGGCAGAAAAGTGGAAGAGAGTCTCCACTATGAAAGAATCCTTCCTCTGGGAATCTAAGTGACACTGAGGTCCTTATAAAAATCAGAACTCTTAGTCTTAACATCTATATCAAGACCAGAGCCTTGGCTGTGATTACCCACACATGGAACTGAGCAGAAACAAATGGCCTGGAAGGCATTCTTCTAGTTATAAAGGAATTGTATTGCCAAAGAAGCCAGAAAACTGGCTGGCTAAAACCTGTGACAAACCAACCCAACTCCTGAATCCATAAATCGACATCAGCAAGAAGCAGTGTGTGAAAGCTGTGGTAGCCCCAAGAAGGAATACCATCCAAAGTCCGCTTTAGATGTGGCCATCGAAGACAATGGACAACAAATCCTCCCAGAGAGCTGAAGCCACGGTTCCCAAATGGGCTGACTGAAGGATTCATACCACCAGCAGGGTAGGAAGTTTCCACAATTCCTTTCCAACAGGACTTGATAAATCTTATAGATCGATGACAGCTGTGTTTCTCATTTTCCCTCTTCTAACAGAAGTTTTTACTTTTGTCATCTTGCTCCTGTCCTTCATTTTATATTGGGTGGATTACTTGTCTGTTAGTTTATAGCCACCATATCCCAAAGAGCCACATTGAGACCTAATGTAGAGAGTTAATCTCACCCAGAGAACCTTGATCTAGATGCAGGAACTGGAAGAGGCTTTGGGATCACATTCCTTGGGAGGCGAACGAGGGTTTCTCTGGAGAATTTGGCAAAACTTCATAAAAGGGATGGAACGTGGCTGAGACTATTAGCTGTCCTTCAAGATTTGTTTTTTTTGCATCTTCTCGATTTTAGGTGGGTACAAGGGCCCTCAGAATAAAAATATTTTGCCAGGCTCCCTTGTAGATGGGGTGGCTATGTGAACATAATAGGCTATGCCCAGAAGTGAAGAAAATAATTTCATATTCACTTCCCTCTTAATGGAGGGGGTATGTTCTTCCTCCTTCCTCCAATCTATTGCTTGGAATTTGGGCGTGGTGAGGAGCCATCCAGGACCATGAAGACAGAGAATACCCTGGAGTGGTGGAGCTATAAGACAGAAGCATCTGAGAACCTAGACTTTTGCAGAGCCCTGGATGGCCCACCTCTGGACTGTTACATGAGAAAGAATTTTCTATCTCCTTTCCGCAAAAGCTCTTTTGGGTCTCTGTTACACACAGCCAAATTTTTATATTTGAATTCATTTGCCTTTAATACAGTCTTTAATATATGCTGTCAGGGAGTTTATAATCCAGATCCTTCTTTTAATTCCTAAACATTAATATCAGTTCCTTATATATTTTTGGGCTGAACAACACAGAGCTAAAAACTTTATGAGCTCAGGGAACTTGCTTGTTTTGTTCACAGCTGTGTTCTTGGTACCCAGTAGGTTTTCAGTCTTTATTCCTTTGCTCTATGCTAGTAACCGGTCATTTAATTAACCAATTTAGAAACGTTTATTAAGTACCCAGTATATGTATGACTCTGGGCTGAGACACATAGATGCTAGAAATAATAGTAACTAGTGTTTCTTTCTTTCTTTGTTTCTTTGTTTGTTTCTTTTTCTTTCTCTCTCCCTCTCTTTCTCTTTTTCTTTCTTTTTTCTTTATTTCTTTCTCTTTTTCTCTCCTCTCTCTTTTTCTTTCTTTCTCTCTCTCTTTCTTTCCTTCTTTCTTTCTTTCTGTCTTTCCTCCCCTTCCCTCCCTTCCCCTCCCCTCCCTCCCTCTTTCCCTCCCTCCCTCCCTCCCTCCCTCCCTCCCTCCCTCCCTTCCTTCCTTCCTTCCTTCCTTCCTTCCTTCCTTCCTTCCTTCCTTCCTTCTTTCCTTCTTAGAGACAAAGTCTCACTCTTTCATTGTCCAGGCTGGAGTGCAAAGGAATGAACATGCAGCCTCCAACTCCAGGGCTCAAGCAATCCTCCTAAGTATCTGGGACTACAAACACACCACTCCTGGCTATAATTAGCATTTATTGAACACTTATTGATTACTAGGTATTATTCCAAGTGTTTTACATGTGCAGCACTTAATCCTTACCATAAACGTATGAAACCAGTTCTATTACCATCCCCATTGAACACAGGGAGAAACTGAGGTACTCAGAAGTTATCTGACTTTCCTAAACTCACACTGCTAATAAAGGGAGTTTCTGGGACTAGAATTCTGGCAGTTAGCCCCACATTTTCTGTTCCTAAGGACAGCACTCTACTGCCTTTCCAAAGGATATGGGGTATTATTCTCTTTGTTAAACAACTAATTTAATTTCAAAATACCGTAGTCTCTCCAATGCATGTTCTGGAAAATGAATGTTCATATTTTAATATTACAAAGGCCATTTTAGACAGAAAGTGTTATGCATTTGGCTAAAATAGCAATTATTTCGTCAGATAGTAAGATAATTTCCAAAAACACCAATTTTAATGCAATGGAATTAACTTTCTAATACACAGTTATTTTCTAACTTTACAAACTAGACAATTTAATTTCCTGGTCATTAAACAAAGAAAATTTTAGCATCTTTACTGATTATTTAATAACAATTTTGGGAAAAATAGAACAGCACATTTTTCTTTGTAATTACTACTTATATAAACTAAGCAAAGAACTGTCTTATTTGAAAATGATTGTCTAAAATGATATAAAAAGGTATGTACAAAATAATTGCTTTTCTTCAAAAACTAAAAATGATTTTTTTAAAAGATAAATGTAGTTACTCAAAGTACAATTCTCACATGAAATTCTTGACTGCTAAATTCAAAACAGCTTAAAAGCTAGATGGAATAAAAGAGAAATGGAAGACAGATTGCTTATATTCAGAATGCTTAAAACCAATTGGACAATTTCTGTGGTATAAATGCTCCCTCCCACCATAGCCAATTTCAAACTATGAAGATGAGGTGATTGAATGTAGAGACGTGTCACAGTCTGATCTGCAGAGCTCATAGGAGCAGGCCCAGCACACCACTGGCTCCCAAGTCAGCCAATCACATTCCAGATACCAACACATTTCAAGTGCCTTCTCTGTGTCTTGGGTTGTTCTGGACACTTTGGCAGGCACTACAATACAAATAGAATGTTCCCAGGAGTATATGAGTAAGGATGTCTTGTGCAAGTTTAGAGAAGCAACTCTTTTTTTTTTTTTTTTTGAGACGGAGTCTTGCTCTGTTGCCCAGACTGGAGTGCAGTGGCATGATCTCAGCTCATTGTAACCTCCGCCTCCTGGGTTCAAGCAGTTCTCCTGCCTCAGCCTCCCAAGTAGCTGGGATTACAGGCACTCGCCATCATGTGTGGCTATTTTTTTTTTTTTTTAGTAGAGATGGGGGTTTCACCATGTTGGCCAGGCTGGTCTTGAACTCCTGACCTCAGATGATCCACCCGCCTTGGCCTCTCAAAGTGTTGGGATTACAGGCATGAGCCACTGCACCAGGCCTGGAAAAGCAACTCTTGAGCAGAGGGACTACAGAAAAAACATAAAGCAGTTTTGGCTTTGGAGGAATTTAGGAAGGCAAGATGAGGATACACAAATCACTGCAAGTGCCTATTGCATGAGTATTAATTAGCAGTGCCAATAGCATATTTTAGGTGCTCAATAACATACATTATAGTCCAATATGAACATGTTGTCCATCCTGCATAGAAAAGCCAAATAGTTTTCAAAAGCACGGTTTGTACTTTTAGATTTTGTAAGCATCTATTTTAATTAATTTAGTCTGTTTGTCCTTGCATTGTCAGAACTCAAGTTATTCTTTGTTTCCTCTATCTCCTTCTACTCCAAAGGTAGCAAAATCAGTTAGAAGAAACTTCCTGATTTCTCTCTCAGAAATGAAATCTAGATCCATGTGGACTGGGCTTGAGAGTTAACATCTGAGTGCATCCTCACACGTTATAGTTATATATTCCTTCAGTGTGAGAACTGAGGTGGAGACTACTGAGAGACTCCGGACTGCATCTGTGATTTGCAAAATGTTTTCAGATATCATTCAACATTATATTGAATTCATGTGTAGAAGTAAATACGACACTTAGTTTATCGATGCAGTTTTTGTGTGTGAGGCAAATGGAAAGGAGTAGTACATCATAGCTATCCCCATCTACAAGGAATCCTGACATTTCACCAAATCTCTTCTTGCTGCACTTTTTTTATTGGTTTTTTTTTTTTTTTTTTAACAGTTTTCCTTCTGATTCTATAGAAAGGTGCTGATGAGAAGAAACAACAGCAGCAGCAACAACTTCCCTTCTTTATTATAACAAAACTCAGAACCTCTGTCCCTGACTTTTCAGTTGGGCTGCTGTGCCAAAGGAGCTAATGGGCTCAATAAATATACCCTTTGAAACTATCTCCCTGTTTTAATGGAGGGGAGTGTTCAGTTCTACTGGAAACTGTTGGCCCTGGCAATAGTCCATCTTATACTTTGGAAATGCAATAGTACTCTAAGTGAGAGACTCACAGAGGAAGAGGGAAAGCCAGAGAGAAAGGCTAGAAGCTGTTTGATCAGCTGCCTCTTTCCACCTGAGGTTTTCCTTCCAAAGTGAACCTTGGAGATTTATAGATATTTCACTTCAAGATAGCCACCACCACCACTACCGCCACACTACCCAATCACTAGGGGCCTTCAGCTGTTTTTTTTCGTTTGGTAGACAGGTGAACAAATTCCTTTTCTTTTCTACTCATTAAAGACAATATCAAACATTTTCTTAAAGTTCTTGCATAGTAACCTTTTGCCTACACCAATAAAAAATCTACTAGAAAATTTAAAACGTACCACAACATGAGTTTTTCAGTACTGATCTCTTATCAAAATGTACTTAACATCAGTTTCACATTATAGTTTGTTTGGAACACCTAATGGGACACTTGGATTTTAGTTTCTTTCCTTTGCTTGTGTTTACCAGCAGTTTGGACATCAATCTTACACACACCAGTATGGTAGCGAGCTTCTGGTTATCCCCACTGCACGCAGATTTGGTGAAATCCTTCCTCTGCCAATAGCAGCTTTCAGTTTTCCTGTTCTCTGCATGTGAGCTCTCTGGTGGTTGCCTTCATACCAGGTTTCCCTGCCCTTTTGCCTTCTATTTCCTCAAGGCTCTGTGAGAGCTCCTGCTCCCTGAATGCAGAAGGAATTTCTGGATTTTTTTTTTCAAATATTTCTCTCCTGGGCTTAGGAGGGAAACAATTCTCTGCTCAGCGTGGACTTAGTCCACTCAGCCTATCCCAGGGATCTTTACTTGGCACTCCCCCTGCAAGTCCCTTTCACCTCTTCCACCTCCTGCAAATAATTCTTCTTGTCATTGACTGTTTCTCTGTACTATTAAAGATGTCTGTGGTCTGTTCAACAACTTTATGTCCAGGCTGGTTCTCTTCTTGAGTCAAGCCAATTTAGCCCCTGGGACTGGTTTCTCTATCATCTCCGTGGTCTTAAAGGCTGCCATCATCACCAGAATCCTGTTTTTTTTCTTATCACTGCTGCTCCAGGATTGACTGAATATAATCAAGATATCTCAAAGGTCTGCACCCCAGGGAATCTTCCACTTCATCATCTTTTTAGCTTCTGTGTCCAATTCATTTTTTGACCTTCTTAGCTAAGGTTATCAGCTTCATTAATCACTCCAGTACTCTAATCATTGCCTTATTTGTGTTTTTTTCCTTCTTTTTTCAGCAGGAAGAAAATTTAAAATTTAAAATAGAGTGCATACAGTAATGACAGTATATACAGTATATACAGTAATGACAGTATATACAGTATATACAGTAGTAGGTGTGACTTTCCCAATGGGAAAAATATTTGCAACTTTCAACACATTATATTTCACATTTTTGGTGGTACTTTGCAAGAGACTGATCTAATCTGATAACAGAGTAAGTGGCTGGATCTGAATGTAAATCTGGATGCATTTATGTAGAGGAAGTAATGAGAACTATATGAGCAAGGAGTTCATTAGTGCAAATATAAAATTTTAAAAAGTGAGTTAGTGTTAAATTATACAATAATTTCTGGCTTAGATAACTTCCATTGTAGTTTATACCACTTCAATGTTTACTGTTATAATATTTATAGGGTGATAAAGTACATTATTCTCATTTAGAACAAACTTCATAGTGAAAAGTAAATAGACTTTTAAGTCAAACAGACCTAGATTAAAAGTCAGTTCTATTTTTTGCGAGATGTATGCACACATATAGGTTAACTTCATTCTTCTCAGTCTCCATTTCTTATCTGTAAATAGGGGTAATACTAATACCTGTATTGAAGTTGCTCTTGCACCGTTTAGATTAAAGTACATTAAGTGATAAAACACATGTACAATGCCTAGGATAGTACCTCATACTTAGTGACATTAAACAAATAGTAGGTACCATATTAAAAGATAACTAATGATTTAAATATGGGTGGGACACCTCTACGTGTATATTTGCCAAGACTTTTTGTTTCTCTAATCCCTTACTTTTGAGTAATTTTCAGTCTACTGAGTGCTAAGATTCAGACTTGATATTTTTATAGCATATTAACTAGGTATATTTTCTTTTGGAGGAATTTGCTCCTTTCTAAATATGGGTATTGAGTTAGAGTTTAGATACAAATTTTGATTAATAAAATTACTAATAATTTATGCTTTTGTTTAATAGTTATTAGGGATAATATATGACCAGAGAAAATTTCTTCATTTTCCTGAAAATTGAAGAATTGATTGACAAAATTAAGAGGAAACTTGACCCCTACTTAGAAGCCTGATATCTCCTTCTAAAGTACAAATCAATAATTATTTAGTAAGTGGGGTGTATTAGTCCATTTTCACACTGCTGATAAAGACATACCCGAGATTGAGTAAATTATAAAGAAAAAGAGGTTTAATGGACTCACAGTTCCATGTGGCTGGGAAGGTCTCACAATCATGGTGGAAGGTGAAAGACATGTTTTATATGGCAGCAGGCAAGAGAGAGAACGAGAGCCAAGCAAAAGGGGAAACCCCTTATAAAAACATCAGATCTCGTGAGACTTATTCACTACCAGGAGAACAGTCTGGAAGAAACTCCTTCCATGATTCAAGTATCCCCCACCAGGGGTCCCTCCCACAACATGTGGGAATTATGGGAGCTAAAATTCAAGATGAGATTTGGGTGGGGGCACAGCCAAACCATATCATGGGGGTAAATATACACAAATAATTTGAGTAATTAAGTTCCCAAGTTGAGTGGCAAGATGGTAGAAGAAAAAGAAAGGAAATAAAGTAGTACTTTAAAATGGTAGGTATTAATTAATTTTTCCTTACCTAAATATTTCAAAATGGTTGTCTACATTGGAAACATTCTTTAAAAATGTTCCTTTAGCTATAAACTTAGTAAAGGAAGAGTCCAAAGTATTTTTCCTATCCTTGTAAGTATGTATTCTCCCATTAGCTAAGAACAAGAGATAATTTATGCTGGGTGAAGAAGATACAGATTTGATTTGCTAAGGTTTATGTATTTCTTGGGAGATGAGAAGACTGGTTAAAATTTTAGTAGAATGATAAACATACTAAACTCCTTTTTAATGGCAGTTATTTCCAGTTTCTATAGCCTAATTTTGTCAGTTACTGTATTTTAGCATAATAGGGTCTTGCTTATGCCACAAAAAAGCATTATACATGGAGCCATGTTATAGCAATTTCCTTCTGGTGCTTACAATAACTGAATCTCTTTGGATGGGATCCAAGAATAAAAGCTCGCTATTCCAAACTTCACACCAGGGTGGGTAGTGTTATAATGAGACTCTGGTGTGCATGCGATGTTTTTCTTTGTTGACAGTTTTTGAGAAGATCTTGATCTCCTGGTGAGTAAATTTACCAAACCACTCACCCTTTAAAAAATTCAGAATTTATTTCTTGCCTCAGAGGGTAATTTCTGGCCCCAAAGGTAATTTTTTTAGAGGATTATTTGCAAGTTCAATTAACTTTCTTCTTTCCTGCTCCATCCCATGCCAATGCAAGAAATAGAGAACTTTAAGGTTTTAGGATTAGTAGTTCATTATACCTGCTGGAACATGTAATGTATAGTGATGTTGGTACTATCATTTCCATTTTTAAGGAAGGAAGGTAAGGTAGGAACTCAGAAAGATAAACAGGTGGGCAAAGTGTTGTCACCTCAAGTCATATCTTGTGTTAATTGCCGTAGTAGCTTTTCTTGGACAAGCTATTGCTCAATGTTTGATGTTGTTAGGTTATTTCATTTAAATTTTATTTATACCTAAAATAAGCCACAGGGTCATTGTTTTTATTTTTGCATTTTATTAAAAAAATTACCTATTAATTCTAATGGCTTCTCAGTACATTGTACTCCTCTAAAATTGTTCACATTGGATCAGAATTCTAGTTGTTTTTTTTTTCTGTCCTAAAACAGTGATGTGAACATGTCAAATGACTTAGTGGTTCTTCTGGCATCAGTAACTGAAAAATTTGAATGCTTATCTGAACTTTATCTGAACTATCTTGAGTTTTCTTGGGTCTATAAAATTGGAACTGAAATCTCATGGAAACTGGCTTTCTCCAGAAATTTTTGGTGAGCCAGAAATACTGTGAGAGCAGCCTTTCCCGTGGTGTTTTGGCATTTTTACTTTGGCCCCAGACAGAACCAGGAAGTTCAGAGGTGAATGAGGATGAAAAATAATGAAATGGTAAGTGATCTTTTTTTTTTCTTCTTCAGAAAGATTCAATTCAGAATTCTTTTAAGAAAATGTTGAGTCAGTCTTAACAACTACAGACCTCATACTATGCATTAAGAGAGATTTGGGACGCCATGAGTAATTCAGCCCCTCTAGTAAAGAAGAAGAAAATTAAAAATTACCATTTCCTCTCATGTTTCACACTATTTACTAAAACATTTTTGTGGAACTGCAGATTCTATAAAATTATTGGTCAGTTATATTAGCGTATATTCCTTGTCTGTAGTGATAGCATGGCAGATACTTTAATGAACTAATATCAACTTTCCTTAGTATCCCTTAATTCAAATTTCTACCACCAGGCAGAGTACATTTCTATAGATTCTCATATTTGGAGGTTTAGAATCTATTATTAGAGTTTACAAGAGTTTTTAGCATATGGATTTTCACAGATTGTCCTGGAATCCAAGTTTCTATTTGTAAGCCAAATCATCTAGAAGGTACATTAGTTATTTTCCCAGAAGCATCCTGAAGAAGAGGGGCTTTCTTGTTTATTAAGACAGTAGTTGTCAAATCTTGGTCTACCTATGGCACTTTTAAAAAGAGACATACTGGCCCGCACCCAGTCTACTAAGTCAGAATCAGTGAGGGCTATAGCCTATTGGGCTATATTTTTATTAAGCTCCATTGGTGATTTTTATGTGCAGCAAAGTTCTCATCAGGTATCACTGATTTAAATGGTCACTTACATGTCATAAGCTTTTCACCAGGTTGTAAAAGACAATTCAAAAGACACTTCTCAAAAGAAGACATTTATGCAGCCAAAAGACACATGAAAAAAATGCTCATCATCACTGGCCATCAGGGAAATGCAAATCAAAACCACAATGAGATACCATCTCACACCAGTTAGAATGGCTATCATTAAAAAGTCAGGAAACAACAGGTGCTGGAGAGGATGTGGAGAAATAGGAACACTTTTACACTGTTGGTGGGACTGTAAACTAGTTCAACCATTGTGGAAGTCAGTGCGGTGATTCCTCAGGGATCTGGAACTAGAAATACCATTTGACCCAGCCATCCCATTACTGGGTATATACCCAAAGAACTATAAATCATGCTGCTATAAAGACACATGCATACGTATGTTTATTGTGGCACTATTCACAATAGCAAAGACTTGGAACCAACCCAAATGTCCAACAATGATAGACTGGATTAAGAAAATGTGGCACATATACACCATGGAATACCATGCAGCCATAAAAAATGATGAGTTCATGTCCTTTGTAGGGACATGGATGAAATTGGAAATCATCATTCTCAGTAAACTATCGCAAGGACAAAAAACCAAACACTGCATGTTCTCACTCATAGGTGGGAATTGAACAGTGAGAACACATGGACACAGGAATGGGAACATCACACTCTGGGGACTGTTGTGGGGTGGGGGGAGGGAGGAGGGATAGCATTAGGAGATATACCTAATGCTAAATGACGAGTTAATGGATGCAGCACCCCAGCATGGCACATGTATACATATGTAACTAACCTGCACATTGTGCACATGTACTCTAAAACTTAAAGTATAATAATAATAAAAAAAGAAGAAAAATATACAAAAAAATGGCAACTTATATTTATATAAGCTTTGATTACTTCATCTCATACATTATTCTCTGCAATCCTTCTCAAAAACTGTGCATAGAGGCTATCACTTTCATCCTCATTTTATGGTGGAAGGGACTGAGACTCAGAGTTTCAATCATTTGCCCAGTTATGAAGTGATAGAGTTGAAACACAAATCCTGCTTTTCTGTCTTGAAGCTCTTGACTTGTAACATATAACACTGACGTACTGCAAGCAGGAAAAGGAAGAACATTCATTCCTACTTTAAAAAAATGATTTAAAAAGAACTTACAGTGAATAACATTATAAACAACAATAACAACAAGTATTTGACAGACACATATTCCTGTAGCAGTCTGTTCTCGCACTGCTATAAAGAAATATGTGAGACTGGGTAATTCATAAAGAAAAGAGATTTAATTGGCTCATGGTTTCACAGGTTGTATAGGAAACATGGCAGCAGCTGCTTCTGGGAGGCCTCAGGGAGATTTTACTCATGGCGGAAGGCAAAGTGGGAGTAGACATCTTACGTGGCAGGAACAGGATGAAGTGAAAAAGCGGGGAGGTGTCACACGCTTTTAAACAACCAGATCTCACCATATCTCACTCACTCACTGTCAGGAGAACAGCACCGAGGGAATGGTGCTCAACTATTCATGAAGGACCCACCCTCGTAATCCAATCACCTCTTACCACACCCCACCTCCAACATTGGGGATTACAATTTGACATGAGATTTGGATGGGGACACAGATTCAAACCATATCAATTTCTAAATGCCTTAATTATCTGGAAAGACAGAAGAGTAATTTGAGGATACTGTCCACAGATAGCTTCTGTCAGATACCTATTCCAATTTGTGGGTGTTCAGTGAATGCTTGGTGACAGACTATTGATGTGAAGTTTTTGTTCTCTTTGCAAACCTTTGCAAGTCGTAGCAATTAGAGTATTAATTGCCATTGCTGAGAAGTATTCATCTGCCTTGCTAGCCATTCAATTAATTCCATGTTCATTTTTGCATTAGAGGCTTGGAAGACCAAAACTTATAAATATTTACGTTACAAAATAAATATTTATAAATTATAATAAATAACAAATATAAATATATTATATTCCTGTAGTGCTCTAAAAATCCAAAGTTTATGAGCATCTAAAGAGTTTCAAAAGTTTTGATGAAATTAATGCCCCCCAAAGAGTCTTACTTCATTGTTTTTGCTGGCCATATTTTAAAAGCCATTCCCTTCCAGTGAACTAAAGGACTGGACTTTGAATAAATGATGGCCTTTGGATCAGTCTGTCCGCTCTGTGATTTGTACAGGATTGGCATCTATTGCCCTGGCCTTCATCTCAGACATTCATTTGGAATGCAGTCACATAGGATAGGGCAGGGGCAGGGAGCATGCCGGGGCAGGGAAGAATGATTTTCAAGCTGTAAGATAGCCCCCTGAAAAAGTTGATCCTGAGATGAAAAAAGTAAGATTTGGCTGTGATTAAAGTAGAAGTGTGTAAGATTACTGAAAAAGCGTATAATGGTTTCAACAAACTACCCTTAGGCAGGTTTAGTGAGTGTAGTTGGCATTCATACAAAAGATAACCTAACCTGACACTAACCCTGCTAGTAGTTCAGGGATAATATTTTCACTAGGATGAACTGCTCTTGAACTGTTTCTGTAATTTATTTGGTGCAAACAGGCTTTCCCTTCAACATCAGACATGCATGTCTTATGGCCACCCATTTGTTTATTGTAAAAACATATTTATTATAGCCAATGCAAGCAAAACCCTCCTTTCCAGTGGTGTTTTAATTCCCCTGAAGCCTTCTCATACTGTGTACCACAGCCCTGATGATGAAGTATACGCAAGCTTGTTCCAAACCATGTCCCATGTTTTCTTTGGCCTTACCTTCAAAAATCTATTGCTAAAGAGCAACTCCTAGTGTTTTATGACCTTTTTACCATGATGGTGCTTATCCTTTGGACTTGAAATGATTTTCCTTCTCTTGATGAAAATGTCAAGTGTGCCTGAGAACCTGGCCAGAAAGTGGACATTGGGTTACGTAGTGAGAATGGAGAACAGCTGCCTGGATATAATAGAATAAGTATGTTTTAGAAAATCACAGGAGTACAGTAAAGTAAGGAGTATAAAGTAAGGAGTATGTAAGGAGTAAGTAAGGAGTATAAAGGAAGGAGTATAAAGTAAGGAGTATAAAGGAAGGAGTATGTTTTAGAAAATCACAGGAGTATAGTAAAGTAAGGAGTATAGGAGTATCAGTTGGTAGAATCTATGTAAAGAACTACAATGTATAATCAGTTTCATCATCACTGTTACTAATATTTATCCTCCATGAAGTCATAAATACTTAGCCTTTGGACTGATCCTGAAAGTAAAGGAGACTTTGGATGGTTCTAGAGATGATGGTCCCTATGGACATTAATTCATTCCCAAAATATTTTCTTGAGTAGCTGCTATGCACCAGGCAGTAAACAAGAAAGAAAAAAGAAGTATAATTTTCTTCACCAAATCCGCTTATTTGTTTTCCGTCTGTGACTACCCAATCCCCAATTTGTGTTAGTGAAACAACTAGTTTTGGGTTCCTTCCCAGTCTTTTGAATGCCAACCATCTTTTTGGTGCCAAAAGAGTCCAAAGACCTAATGAGCATTTTAGATCTCATTTATGAGCATGATAAGAAAAGGAAATGAGGAATGATTCATCTGTTCATCTGGCCAAGGAACATCTTAGAGTTGAAGTGATTCTACGGAAGAATTAACACTAGATTGTTGCTAGCACAGGTGGCACCTTTTTGTAAATGGGAAAAAAGTGCCCCTTCCTCATGACTTTATTTCAGTAGAGAATATTGCCATAATAAATATGCAAATCCATGACATCTATGATGTGAATGTCATTCTTAGATATTTTTCCTTGTACAGTGTATAACCATGTGCAGTGATTCTATAAGGCAGCTTTATCAGCCAGTTTGGAGGGAATGTAAACAAATTGAGGCAATACATCAACATTAATATGTATTCTCCTAACAAGGAACATCTGCTGATAGTATTCTGTCACAAAACATTTCCAATAAATCTCTCCTTTTATACAGTTCTCTCCCAAGCACATATCTAGCTGGGTACTTGGGTTTATCTCTAGTATTTAAACAAAAGCTATTTTTTACTACCCTTTATCACTAATCACCCTTTCCTCTCTTTGTAAATTTCCCTACAATTTTTTCTCAATTGAATGCTCTGCTTCTGTGATTAGTCTAATTTAATTTTGCATCACAATTCCAAAGCTCTCTTACTCAAAATCAAGTGGATGAGAAGTCCATGAATTACCTGCCCACAAAGCACTAAATCACTGAACTACATATCTAAACAGTGTTTGTGTCATGGGAATCTAGAGTCACAAAATGTCAGAAAAAAAAATAAAAATTTATTTTCCTGCTTATATCCTAAATATACTTTCTATTACATTTGCCACATGTTTACAAGGCAGAAAGTAAATGCAAAGTAAGTTAGTGAGGCCCCATCTTCTTTCCTAGCTTCAACATCTGGTGGCAAGAAAACTCCATATCTAAAACTTTAGGTTGGTTTTATACTCAGGCACCCACCTCGTGGAATTTGGTAAGATAAAACTGAGTTCGTTTCTTAGAATTTGGTTAATTTCTAAGAACACGTTTTGTATAATAAGACCATGTTTATTCCAACCCAAGACCTATCTAGAATATTCTAATGCATGCAGTGGTACTTACTAAATACATGAATCCTTCAACTATCTGGAGACATTTGCATAGTGTTCCATAGTACCTATCAGTTAGCACAGTCATTTGGGGAGAACTGAGGGACAAAACTAGCAATGGTTCTCGTAAAACTTTATCCATAGAAGTTAGGATTTGGAAAGTCTGGCTTGTTTATCTATTAACCATTAATTGGTTAGTTCTGTAATATCATGAGACCAATTGCCATCCTTCACTTCTTTGTTTGCTATCTTTTCACTAGTCCCCATTGATTTCTACTTTAAAAATCATACTTTAGTCTGTAATATGGTTATTCCAACCCATATCGTGGGATACTGCTACTTATCAAAGGCTATTATACATTAAATATATCTGTCTTCAGTTATTTGGACAAAATAAATGTATGTATGTGTACAGTAGGGATTAAGAGATTCACTCCAAAAACCCTAAGAGCATCTGTAAAAGAAGCTTAAGGGCTGCAAGGGGTTAAGACAAGGAACCCAGCAGGAGAGACTCATGGAATTGTGTTCTTATTTCAATCAGAAGAATTTTTCTTTTATGCGTCTAATAACTTGGATTTACTTATAAGATTTCTATTAAGAAAAGATTCAACAACTGCCATGAATTTGAAAGCCATTTGCTTAGGAAATGCTTTGCCATATAATCCTTAAGTAATTACCGTATAGCTTCCTTATTCTAACCTTTGCCTCCAACTAAATTCTTACCTCTTCAAGGCAGGCATTGTGTCATAATCAACTCTCCAGCTGGAGCAATGAGTCTGAAACAAGTACACAATAAAATTATTAAAATAATTGTATAATTGTATTTATATACACTGAAAATAAGCCAACCATTTTTAATACGGTTTCTAGGGATATTAGTTAGATTTAGACTGATTAAGAGTGGCCTGAAAAGAATAAGGAAATCACAATTGTAAAATAGATAATTCTCAAGGAACAATGATTTTAAAATGCTTTAGTGAACGCTGGAGAAAGGACACCCTATTCAATAAATAGTGCTGGGAAAATTGGATAGCCATATGTAGAAGAATGAAACTAGAGTCTTATCTCTCTCACCACATACAAAAAATTAACTTAAGAAGGATTAAAGACTTAAATGTAAGACTGGAAACTGTAAAAATTCTAGAAGAAAATCTAGTAAAAACTTGTGGACACTGGACTAGACAAAAAAATGTATGATGAAGACCCCAAAGCAATAGCAACAAAAAAAAAATAGACAAATGGGACCTAGTTAAACAAAAAAGTTACTGCACAGCAAAGGAAATAATCAACAGACTAAACAACCTACAGAATTGGAAAAAATATATTCAAACTATACATCTGACAAAGAACTAATAACACAAGGAACTCAACTCCACAAGAAAAAACACAAACAACCCCCGTTAAAAACTGGGCAAAGGACATGAACAGACATTTCTTGAAAGAGGAAATACAAGCAGCCAACAAACACATGAAAAAATGCTCAACATCACTAATCATCAGAGAAATGCAAATTAAAACCACAATGAGATATCATCTTCCACCAGTCAGAAAGGCTATTATTAAAAAGTCAAAAAGCAACAGATGTTGGCCTGGATGCAGAGAAAAAAGAACACTTATACACTGTTAGTGGGAATATAAATTAGTTAAATCTCTATGGAAAACAGTGATTTCTCAACGAACTAAAAATAGAACTATCATTGCACCTAGCAATCCCACGGTTGGGTATCTACCCAAAGGAAAATGAATCACATGTAAAACAGACACCTGCACTCATGTTCATCACAGCACTGTCCACAAGAGCAAAGTTATGGAATCAACTTAAGTATCCATCAATGGTTGACTGGATAAAGAAAATGTGGTACCTAATACACCATGAAATACTACTCAGCAATAAAAAATAATGAAATCATATCCTTTGCAGCAACAAGAATGGAGCTAGAGGCCGTTATCCTAAGTGAACACAGAAACAGAAAACCAAATACTGCATATTTTCACTTGTAATTGTGAACTAAACAGTGAGTACACATGGACATAATGATGGAAATAATAGACACTGGGGACTCTGAAAGAGAGGAGGATGGGAGGTGGCCAAGGATTGAAAAACTACCTATTGGGTACAATGTTCACTATTTGGGTGATGGGTGCACTACAAGCCCAATCCCCACCAGTATGCAATATACCCATGTAACAAACGTGTGTGTACTCCTTGAATCTAAAAGAAAATAAAATTTAAAAAATAAAAAGCTTTAATGAATGCCTGGAATGGCTCCATGGCACTGTCTTAAAGTGGCATTTCATGTTCTGAAGCAGTTGATGACTCTAACGGCAGTGATATATTGTCTCTGTGGGTGAGGGTGAAAAAATAGTTTTGGGATGTGTATTTATCTGTACATGTGCAGTCTGAGTGCAAATGTGTTGTTATCAGACTCTTTTGTGGTATTCCTGTGACCTGGGCCAAGTTACTATGTACAAAAACAAACCACATTGGTTTCCAGTTGCCCTCAAAAATCAGAGAAGGGTAAGAGAGAATTGGTGCAGCTGTGGCAACAACCTTATTACAACCTTTTTGTGAGAGAATAAGGGTATCTAATGAAAAAATACCTGGGAAGTTTGAGTACAAAATAATTAGAAGCTATGAATATCTGGGTATGGGATTTTTCATTTAGTAGGAAATGTGTAGTTGGAAACTTTCCGTGTGTGCATTTGTTGATTAGTTATTTTTTCTTCAAAATCTGGGTATAAATTTAAATCTCTCATTTTTACTAGTTTAACTAGAATTATTGAGTTCTAGCTTTAATGTTACCTTGGGCCAATATGCTTTAATCATCTGGGGACCTAGCATTCAATCCTTTCCAGCACAGATTACTTGATGGAGAATATCTAAGTGTTCTTGGGAAGCATTAATCACACCCCCATGGCCTCCCATGAAAAATTTGCTAGAAGCCCAAACCAATATTTAGACTATTGACATTAATTCTGTCCCTCTCCCTTTCTAAGGTGGTGTAGTGTAACTTTTAAGATCAAGTTTTTATACAAGCAAAAACATTTTCAGATTTCCAATAATTTTATCTTTCATTTTATGCCAAAGATATAAATTTACATCCAGCATTTGCTACAATCACATGGCCCTCCACAGCTATGCAAGCAAGCAGCCAGCAGAAACAGGAAGTTTAATAAAACCCTATACTTCTATAAAATGTAGTGTGATGTGTCGTGAACTTGGACCTCCCCCTACAAAACTGATAAACATTTTCTTTTTAAAAGTTGCCTATTATCCTAAGTATATTTAATTCCTTAAGTGACTAAGGGAAAAGACACTTCCAATAGTTGCATTCTTTAGTATGAAAATATATGTGGTATTTTTTCATCATTAGCTGATGTGCTATTTCAAAATAATACCTCTTTATATCAGCTTACCAATTTCAAATACAGCATAACTTCTATATAATGATCTTTATAGTAATGTGTATATATTGGAATGAATTGACATTTCATCTGCACATTATACATTATCATGTTTTTGCTTGTCATAGAGAAAAAATCTTTTCACAATTTTCATTGTGACATTTTATTGAACATATAAATATAAAATTTTCTTACCTATAGTTCTATATTAAGAAGTGATAATTTAGAAAACTAATATGATCCTGAAATATGTGCTAGAGGTTGTAGGCAAGGCTGTAAGCTGCTCTTTATGTTTTGTAAAGACTGTGCCCTTACTTCTAAAATTTAATTGAGCAGGATTGAAAATAAGTTGTTGATAGTCATAAAGAAATAAATATAACTAAAGAGTTAGAAATGAGAGCAGTGAAGAAATTAAGAGAGTATTTAAAGTTATTGATCATAGAAGTCATTGTTAAAATTTGAATACATGATTTGCAGTTTTAAAATAGGTGTAATCAAGATGTTTTTTCCTCTCCTCTTAGAAATCACCCAAATCAATAAGAACAAGAAACAAAACCTAAAGCTAGAACTTAGTTCTATGACAGGAAGAGGGCCCTCTAACTCTGAATCCTAGCAAAGGAAGAAGGCTGCCAGATCTTCTGAAGTAAAACAGGGACACAGGCAGATGCTGAGAGAAGACTCCAGAGGGTACAGATCTCATTCAAGCCTGGCGAAGCCCAGCTCTTCTTTATCTGGGTCAATATTACTTATGTTAGAAGTATAGTCTAATAGCAAGAGCTTCCCTGGACCGAGTTTGGTAAAAAGAAGAAGGGGAAGATAAGGCCGAATGAGGAAATACAAACACAAAGATAAGTCATATTACCAGGAAGCAGTCTACTGGTACAACAGGTTAGAGGGGAAAGCAGGCATTGAGAGAAGCCCTGAAATATCAACTTCTGTTAGCTAGGGAGAAGTAACCCTGTACTCACACACTAGTATCCCAAGGAGAATTCCTGCCAGTCTAGAATATAGCCCTCACCTCCCTCAAAGTATCACACTATAAAGAGCTACTTCAGGAAGAAGTAACTTCATTCAAATAGGAGGTGATTTTTTTTAAAGAACTTACATAGAATTATCCAAATATGATATAAGGAAAAAAAAAGAAAAGGAATGGCAGGTAATAAACCCTCACCAGATAAATATTTCTACAGAGTTCTTTAAAAACTGTGAGCAAGTTACTTACCATGAAATTTTAAATGTTAAGAAGTTAATGCTTCTATAAAATAGGAATTCTAAGCATAGACACGAGAATGTAGAAAATAGGGTGAGGCAACAGAATACAATGAAAATTGGACTGGCAAGCTCAAAAGAAGTGAAAGGGAAAAATAAAACCATCATAAAAATAAAGGCCATGTTTGAAGCAGCACACAGAACAGACATACTAAAAACACAGTAAGACGTATGGAATATTATAAAGGGAGCAAAATAGAATAGAAAGTTAAAAGGAGATTTAAAAAATTAAGAAGGAAATGATAGATGTGGAAAACAGATATGAAAGATCCAATATACAGAATATCGAACTTAAAAAGAATGTTGTCCTCAAGAACATAAATTGTGGAAGAAGAAAAATATTTAAAGATGTAATTAAAGAAAAGTTTATAGCAGTATAAGTAGCCTCAGATGTGTTGATTGAAGGAGTGCACATAGCAGGGCCTTAAAAAAATAACTTTAAACAATGAACACAGAGACATATTCTAGTAAAGTTTCTGGGCTTTAAATATAAAGAAAAAATATTTGGGCTTCCATTCAAAAAGATAATAAGTTTATACAAAGAGTGAATACTAGAACAGAAAAAAGAAATACTTTCAAAGATCTTTTTAAAAAGTATAAACTAAGAATTTAATGCCTATCCAAATTTATTTATTAATGGGAGAAAATTCTCTGGAAGAAAATTTTTAGTCAACCAAGAACTGAATGGAGAGAGGGAAAAAAAGTACTGGAATGGTACATTGGCTCCATTTAACTGCCAAACCCAAACTTAGAAAATGCAAGGGAGAGTATATTTGTCAGTATAGATTTAAATATTTAAAACACTGAAAATGTAAACCAGCAACTAACAGAAAAGACAAACTTAAACTTGTTAAAAGACAAATGACTGAGGAAAACATGCTCAGTCTCACTAATAAGAAATGAAAAAACAGTGATATACCATTTTTTTAACTTATCAGATTAACAAAGATCAAAGAGTTTGAAGTTATACAATTGGTGAGAAAGTGTGGGACATATAAACTTTTATACACTGCT
This sequence comes from Homo sapiens, assembly GCF_000001405.40. NCBI lineage: Eukaryota > Metazoa > Chordata > Mammalia > Primates > Hominidae > Homo > Homo sapiens. The sequence continues at coordinate 28,112,071 of NC_000012.12, forward strand.
TTTGGGAGTATAACTTATGGAAAACAATTGTGAAATATCTATAAAATAGGAAGTGCCTATAATCTTTGGCCTACCAATTCATTGTTAGAAAATTATTCTACAAAAATACTCCAATGTTTGCAAACTACTTATGTCCAAGGGTATTTATTTCAGTGTTGTTGGTAATAGCAAAATATTGAAAATAACCCGAATGCACATCTTTATGGGACTAATTAAATAAATTTTATAACATATACAACGAAATACTATGCAGTCATTAAATATAATGAGGCAGCTCTGTATGTAATGTTATGAAGCAATCTCCAGAAATATTAAGCAAAGTCTGTATAGAACAGTTCAAGAAGTACATGGCAATGATACATAAAAAATAATGAGACAAACAAAAAGACATAGAAAGTATCAAACACAGGATAAACATCTCTGTGAAAAAGAAATTCAATAGAATGAAAATGACAGAAGTTATGGGCCTACTGGAATCCCAGATTAGAAGCCCATTCCAGGAGATGGCATAGTTTAGGAGTTGAATGTGACCTGTGTAAGATTGCCTGGGGTCAAATCTTAGTGTGTCTGTGCATTAGCCATATGAGACAAGTCTCGTAGCTTCTTAATGAGATGAGTTGAAGATATTGTAAAATATACAGCATGCAATTATTAAACAAAAGACAGCTGCTGTATTAATATTAGTATCAGGCTAGATAGAATTTATAGCAAAAAGTACTAATAGAAAGGAAGACTTACATCACATAGTAATGAAAGTAATGATCCATGAAGAATGTATGTTATGAACTTCTATATAGTTAACAACATAATTTAAAATGATATTCAACAGACAAAATATAAAAGGGTTAGAGTTGCTTCAGCTGAAGAAATTTATGTAGCTCTATACCCCCCAAATAAAAATATACATTCTTTTCAAGTACATATGAAATATTAATTTTGAAAAATTGATCATGTTCTAGGTCACCAAGAACTTCTCAATAAATTATAAGATATTAGTGTTATACAGACCACATTCTGTGACCACAATGCTAATTGTGGTTTTTGCCATTGAAAGTAATGGCAAAAACCGCCATTACTTTTGCCACTGAAAGTAATGGCAGAAACCGCAATTACCTTTGCACCAACCTAATAAATAAGAAATCAACATTGAACAGTGGTTTTAAAGAATCCATATATGTTTGGACTTTAAAACATATTTTATGCTTTAGGAAAATATTTAAATATAAATAACAATGAAAATAATACTGAGGGATACAGCAAAGTACATGATGGCAAAAATAGAACCTTTAACAGAATTAATGAAAAGACTTAAAATAAATCAGTTAAGTGTTAAACTCAGAAAGTTAGAAAAATAATAACAAAGAAAACAAAAACATATATCTACTCTAAGGAAATAACAAAGAACATAAATTAATAAGTAGAAAATAAACAATAGAGAGAAATAATAAAGCTAAAAGCTGGAGCTTTGATGAAAGCTTCCTGAAAATAAAAAGGACAAGTAATTGGTAATAAAAGGAAACAAATATAGATATTACAGATATTACAAATAATAGGAACATACTGTGCCAATAGAAAATTTAGATGAAATGATAATTTCCTAGGAAAATAGAAGTTACCAAAATTGACTGGAGAAAAAATAGAAAACATTAATAAACCAATAACTATGAAATAAATTAAATTGTTAGGAGTCTTCTGCCCCCAAACAGTAAGCCAAGACAGCCTACATGTGTGTTTTATCAAACTTTCTAAAGATAAAAATCTGCTCTTTTATAATAATTACATTTCAGATTTTAAAAAAAGAAGAAAAGCGGCCGGGCACAGTGGCCCATGCCTGTAATCCCAGCACTTTGGGAGGCTGAGGCAGGCAGATCACCTGAAGTCAGGAGTTCGAGATCAGCCTGACCAATATGGGGAAACCCCATCTCTACTAAAAATACAAAATTAGCCAGGCATGGTGGCTCATTCCTGTAATCCCAGCTACTCGGGAGGCTGAGGCAGGAGAATCACTTGAACCTGGGAGGTGGAGGTTGAACTCCGTCTCAAAAAAAAAAAAAGAAGAAGAAAAGCTGGTTGGCTTAATTTGTGAGGCTAATATGCTGTTGACACGTTGACACTCAAACTAGGTAAGGACACGATAAAAAGAAAACTGTAGCATAATTCTTATGTGAATATAAAATCAAAAATTTAAAATAAAATATTAACAAATTGAGTTCTTTTATGTATTAAAAATACACATCATATTCTAGTAGTATTTGTTCTAAGAATGTAAAGCTGTTTTAATGTCAGAAAACCTATCAACCATATTAGCACATAATCAAATCATAGATGCAGGAAAATGCAGAAAAAATAATAAAATTGATGCATTTATTTATTTAACAAACACTGATTTAGTGCCTACTATGTGTTAGGCATTACCTCGGGCATTGGGGATATAACATCTAAATAAATGGAAAAATTCTCTGACTCATGGACTTTGTATTCAAGTGGGTGAATCAGAAAATAATCAAATAAACAGAAAAACTGTATAATGTCATGAGGCAATAACTGCTCCAAAGAGCAACAAAACCAAGTAATAAGATAGAATGTGATGAAGCATGCTACTCTGAGCAGACACCTGGCTGAAGTGAGGGAGTGAGACACACATATTTTCAGTGAGAGAGCACATCAGGCAGAGAGAAATGTGAGTGCAGTAACGACAAGACAAGATTTTGCTTGGATCAAGGATCAAGGAAGAACATTTAGAAGCCTGCTTGGCAGGCATGAGGAGCAGTGATGTGGATGGCAGGGTTGAGCAAGAGAAAAGAGATGAGATGGGAGAGATTGCTAGAACTCAGATCATGTGGGATTTTGTATCCCAAAGTAAGGACTTTGGATTTTATTCTAAATGTGATGGGAAAACTTTGGAGGGTTTTCAGAAGAGGAGTGACATGATCTGGTTTGTGTATGTGTTGCTTTTGTTTGTTTGAGACAGGGTCTTGTTCTGTTGCCCAGGCTGGAGTGCAGTGGTACAGTCTTGGATCACGGAAGCCTCAACTTCCTGGGCTCAAGCATCCTCCCACCTCAGCCTTCTGAGTAGCTGGGATTACAGGTGCACGCCATCACACCCGGCTAAGTTTATTTTTTTGTAGAGACGATGTCTCACTATATTGCCTAGGCTGGCCCCGAACTCCTGGACTCAAGCTATCCTCCCCCACCAGCTGCCCAAAATATTGGGTTTACAGGTGTGAGCCACTGTGCCCTTCCTGATTTGTCTTTTAAATAACCTCTCTGGCTAATATATAGATAATAATCTATACTAGGGTGAATATAATTGATATGAATCTCATGAAGATGAGACTAGGTAAGAGGGAATGGCAGTATCTCAGATGAAATTACTTGGCGGCTTGTACTAGGGTAGTTGCAGTGGTAAGAATGATTGAATTGATTTGTGGATATGATACGTTTGCAAATATATTAGTTAGGGCTATCCAGAGAAAGAGAACCAATGAGAGAGACAGAAAGAGAGAGAGAGAGATAGGTTTATTATAAGGAATTGGCTCATGCGATTACGGAGCCTGACAAGTCCCAAGATCTGCAGTTGGCAAGCTGGAGACTCAGGAAAACTGATGGTGTAATTCCAGTCTGAAGGCTGCTGGCTTAAGACCTGGGAAGAGCCAATGTTTTAATTTGAGTCCCAAGGCAGAAAAACACTGATGTCCCAGTTTGAAAGCAGTCAGGCAGGAGGAGTGACCTCTTACTTGCGGACGGTTAGCCTTTTTGTTCTATTTGGGCCTTCAGCTGATGAGATGGGGCCCATTCACATTAGTGAGGGCAATCAGCTTTACTCAGTCTACTAATCCAAATATATCAGTTGCATGCAGAAACACCCTCATAGACACACCCAGGAAAATGTTTGACCAAAATGTCTTGATACCGTGTGGCTCAGTCAAAATAGGAAGAGTACCTAAGAAAGAATATCTATGAGAAAACCTAGAGATATCACCCTTTAAATGTGAAATTTTAAGTGTTCCTAGCAGCAAGAAAAGGATACTACTATAACTACTTGTGGTCAGTAGTATGTTGAAGCTCTCATCTAACGCAATTCAAGAAGAAAGGGATTAAGTGATGTAAGATTTGAAAGAGAAGCAATAAAATTGTTCTCATTTTAAACAATGTTATTTGAAACAAAGAAAATCCAAGTGCTTTTCAACTACTGGAATGAATAAGAAAGCTTCGGAAGTTTATTAGACTCAAGTCAACATACCAAAATGATTGTCATTTCAACAAAACAATAATAACAAGCTACAAAATCAAATAGAAAAAAACCTATAAAATACCTAAGGATAGACCTAATATATGATGGTTAAGATGTCTATGGGGAAAATAAAATGTTTTTGAAGAACAAAAATAATTAGATACAGAGATACACTTCTACATTCATGAATTGTAAATATGTTAGTCCCCTCCCCCACAATATTCTAGAAACTTAATAACATTTTAACCAAAATTCAAAAGAGACTTTATGGAACTTGACAAGTGAATCCTAAAATTAATATGGAAGCACAAAGAATCAGGAAGAGTCAAAAAATCTGAAGAAGAATAAGCTGGGGGCAGGGTGAAATTGGCCTGACCAAATACATCAAGAATTTATAGAGCTATGGAAAAGCAGACAGTGTGGTATTGGCACAGGAAGAGTCAAATAAACCAAAGGAACATAATAGAAAGCCCAGAAACAGATACTTGCATATGTGCAAACTTGAAATATGACCAACGTGGCACTATAAGTCTGTGAGGAAAGGCAGGACTAGTCAATAAATGGTACTAGAACAATTGCTTAACCATATGGAAGAAATAAAATAAAATTGGATCCCATTCTCACACCATATACAAAAATAAATTCCAGATGGATTAAAGATCTAAATGTTAAAACAGCTTTTGGTAAAACAAAAAAAATATATGGACTATCTTCATAACGTTTATATGTGGAAAAATTTCTTAGACAAGACACAAAAAGTAGAGCAAAATGTTGGTAAATTTGATGACACCAAGATTTTTTTTAAACTCTTGCGTTCAACAAAGATACAAAACATAAAGTGAAAAAATAAACCATATCCTTTGAAAAGAGATTCACAACTCATATAAATGCTAAAGAATAAGCAAAATGTGAACAGGCAATTCAAGAGATAAGTAAATGAATAATAAACATATGGAAAGATCCTCACCCTACTAATAATTAGGAAGATGAAAAAGAACAGTTAGACATCATCTCCACTTGGCAAAATTTAAATTCTAACAGTATCAAGAGTTGTTATGGTTTAGAGTAACAATAGCTCTCATATACTGCTAGTAAGCATGTGAATTGGTACCACTACTTTGGAGAGCAATTTGAAATATCATAAAGTTGATGATGTTCATACTCTCCAACTTAGCAATTCTACTTCTAGATTTAGAACTTTAGGAAAAGTTCATATGTGCAGAAGGAAATTGGTGTAACAATGTTTATTGCAGCATGGTTTCTAATGAAAAATATTTAAAAACAGAAATGTCATTTAATAAGATATAGATTAGGAAATTGTGATATAGTCATATAGTGGAATTCTATATAGCATTTAAAATGTGCACTAGAGATGCTTGTGTGAAGATGAATATCAAAGAAGTAAGATGACTGAAAAAGCAAGTTGTGGAATGATACATTCAGTAATATACTATTTATGTAAACTTTTGATACCAGCAAATATAGGCACATTATGTAGTACTATCTACATTGATAGATATATGTGTCTAGTAAATATATAAATTATCCATGGGTCTTATAAAACACTAAATCTATGACTATGGTGGGATGGCAAGACAATAATGAAATCAGGAAGGAATACTCAAACAATCTCAACCGTATCTGTTAAGTTTTCAAAAAACTGGAGCAAACATTGGCATTTTCTTTTGCTTTCATACAGCTGGGTGGTGAATAGATGCAAGGGGATTCATGTTTTGCTATTTTCAGCAGAGGGCTGCCCTACCTCAGACAGAACTATTCACATCATAGTCAATGTGAAGGGTATCCTGTGGAGCTGTGTCCACAGCCTGCCTGGTAATATGAAGCAGTATGTTCTCATTTGTGTGTTTGAAATGTTTCAACATATTTTTTTAAATTTAATGAGGTGAAAAAGCAAAGCGCTTCACAGAGTGTATAGTATCCTATTATTTGTTTTATACATTTATGCTTTTACAGGCATACCATCTTTCTGGAAGAATAACAACAAATTGCTACCAGTTGTGCCTGTTGTGTTTGACGGACAAGGCAATGAGAGAGACTTGTATTTACTGTATGCTCTTTTGTGGCCGTTGACTACATTATTCATTTTTAAAATAAAATAATATCAGGTCAGCCATGGTGGCTCATGCCTATAATCCCAGCACTTTGGGAGGCCGAGGCTGGCAGATTAATTGAGGCCAGGAATTCGAGACCAACCTGGCCAACATGGCAAAACCCTGTCTCTACTAAAAATACAAAAATTAGCTGGGCATAATAGTGCGCACTGGGTGCGCCCAGCTACTTGGGAGGCTGAGGCAGGAGGTGGAGGCTACAGTGAGCTGAGATCATGCTACTGCACTCCAGCCTAGGCAACAAAGAGAGACTCTGTCGCAAAATAAATAAATAAAATAAAAAATAAAACAAGTACAAAAAGTATTTTTACTATGTACTTTTATTTTGTACTCTTCCATAAATTCTTTACCTGATAAGTCAACCCTCCCCAGAGGGTTCCCAATGTAATAACTTAAGAAAAAGTTTGAGTTTTATGTGTGTGTATAAATAAACATGTATATGTTTCAGTATCTTTTTTATGTTTATAAGCCCATATATATGTACACACGCAGTCATGTGCCACATAATGACATTTCAGTCAATGACAGATGGCATTTATAATAAGATTATAATGCAGCTGAAAACTTTTAACATTGTAGCATAACATATTACTCGTGTTTGTTGTGATGCTGGTGTAAACACACCTGTTGGGCTGCCAGTCATATAAAGTGTAGCACCTACAATGATGTACACTTCCTAGTATTTGAAAACGATAATAAACCACTGTGTAACTGACATATGTATTTACTATACTGTACTTTTTATCATTATTTTAGAGTGTACTCTGTCTATTTGATATATAAATATATAGTATGCTTATATATAATATATAGTAAAAATATATATGTATATATAATATACAATATAGCTATATATTTAAATATATATCTAATGTCACATATTATATATTATATATTATTTTTTATATATATAGTTAACAGTAAAATAGCCTCAGGCACGTCCTTCAGGTCCTTCAGGCAGGTCCTTGCTATCCACAAGAAAGCATTGTTATCATAGGAGAGGACATCTCCATGAATGTTATTGCCTCTGAAGACCTTCCATTAGGGCAAAATGTGGAGGTGGAAGACAATATTGATGATCTTGACCTGTGTAGGCCTAGGCAAATGTGTATGTTTGTTATTACAAAGGAGTCAAAAAGTTAAAAAAAATTAAGTTTATAAAGTTAAAACGTTGCAGTAAGCTAAGGTTAATTTATTATTAGGAAAGGAAAATTGTTTTTATAAGTTTAGTGTAGCCTAAGTGTACAGTGTTTATAAAGCCTACAGTAGTATGTAATAATGTCCTAGGCCTTCACATACACTCACCACTCACTCACTGACTCACCCAGAGCAACTTCCAGTCCTGCAAGCTCCATTCTTGGTTAAGTGCCCTATACAGGGGTACCATGTTTAATTTTATACCCTATTTTTTTTTTTGAGACAGGGTCTCCCTCTATTGCCCAGGCTGGAATGTAGTAGCATGATTTCAGCTCACTGCAACCTCCACCTCTTGAGTTCAAGCAATTCTCCTGCCTCAGCCTCCTGAGTAGCTGGGACTACAGGTGCGTGCCACCACAGCCCAGCTAATTTTTGTATTTTTAGTAGAGACAGAGTTTCACCATATTGGTCAGGCTGGTCTTGAACTCCCTAGCTCAGGTGATCCTCCTGCCTCGGCCTCCCAAAGTGCTGGGATAACAGGCGTGAGCCATCGCCCCCAGCCTTTATACCCTATTTTTACTGTACCATTTTTATGTTTAGATATCTTTAGATACCATTGTGTCACAATTGCCTATAGTATTCAGTACAGTAACACACTCTACAGGTTTTTAGCCTAGGAGCAACTGGCTATCCTATACAGTCTAAGTATGTAGTTGGCTACGCCATCTAGATTTGTGTAAGGGCACTTTACGATATTTGCACAATGACAAAATCACCTAATGACCCATTTCTCAGAATGTATCCCCATCATTAAGCAAATCATGATTGCGTATACACACACACACACAACCATACCAGTCCAGGATGGTTTCCAGAAATTGAGAACTGAATTGGGTGGTTTTTAAAGGACACAGGACAACAGTCCCACTTCTCCATGCAAATACAATCAGTATCTTCTGGCCCCTCACCTGGCTTCTTGAAGACCAGGACCATTACACATTTGTCTTTATATTCTCAGCATATGAAGCAGTGTTTGGTGAATGAATGAATAGACTAACACTTCTCAAGTTATTCTTTACATCTACAATATAATTGTCCACAGTCTACCATGTGTTTCCAGGATGAACGTTAAAGCACATCTGAGAAACCCTAACTATCCTCACGGAGGATGATTTGTTGGAGAATCAGACACTACAGTTTTCAAATTAAATATATTTCAATTAAAACGATGGAAACTGGAAGTACCAAAGTTATAAAACAATTTCCTATAATGGATATGTTCCTCTCAGTTGGGAATAAACTTAGAAGGTGAGGCTTGTCCTTGAAGGACTGTGGAGAAATTTTTAAATCCGAAAATAAATGAGCTGAACAGATTTCCCCTTCCTTCAAATTCTGAAGGCAAGCTACAGTTTTCATAAAGTACAAATTCAATACTGGAATTCACTGAGTTGAGTTTTTTTTGCTCCTGTTTCCTGTGTGGCATCAACTTCAGGAGCTTTATTAAAACAGTGTGTCAGAGGCCTTGATGACTTAATGCCCAACTGGGTTTTAAAGTCTTAATTCTTCATTCAAATAGTAATTAAACTCCAAAGCTTAACTCAGTCAAGACTTTTTCTTTCTTTCTTCGAACAGGTAGCATGCTTGTCATGGCAGGGGGTTCCTAAACTCTCTAAGCCCTGATTAAAATATTTTTTACAAACACGGTACACAATCACCTGATATTATGTAGTTGCTTTTTTTTTTTTAATCTCATGGTAAAAATGTAAGCTGATAAGAGCAAAACTTTTTTTTTTTCTTTTTCACTAATTTAACCTACCAATTAATTTTACTGAAGATCTGTTTCCTTGGAAAAGCAACTCATACTTACTATAGAAAATTTGGAAAATACAGGAAAATAGAAAGTATAAAATAAATAAAAGATCCATAGTCACTTAAAGATAATTCCTGTTGAAAGGTTAATACATTTTGTTTATTCACATTTAATCATTCCTGCATGCACAGATTTTTGGTTTGGGTTTTACATCATTATGACACACTACAGTTAGCATCAGTTTTTGTTTGTTTATTTTGTTTGTTTAAAGAAAATGATACAAGCTAAAAACAGTTCCAGGTCAGTAGAGCTGACCTATATTTTATTTTTTAAAGCAAGATCAAATAAATCCATTTCGGTTGCATTTTTTTTGGCATGGTTCTTGATTAGTTTCTTTGGTTCTTTCTGATGTAGGTCTTAAAAGCTACATGTTGTAGCAGAAAGAACAGAGACTTCAAAATTCTAGTTTCACCTCCTAGTAACTATGTCTTAGGTATGTTCTGTTTAACAAATATGTATGTGGTCCATATTTATACATTTTTTTCTGTATGACACATATTATTATTTAATCTGCTTGAAGCAATGTACTTAACTTCTAGAAACTTCTGTTTTCTTACTCGTAAAATGTTAATAATGTATTCTCCCTTGCAGGGTTAATGTAAGAACTAGAGAAAAAACATGAGAAGCATGTACTACCAAGTAAACATTCACTGAATGGTACCTATTTGAGTCAGTTAGAAAAATCCTCATAGATTTTAAACAGACTAGCCTCGAGTTACACAAATAAACACTATTAATGACAGAAATGAAAGTAGTAACTCCAAAGGATTAATTCACTGCTGAAGACAGTATTTTTCATGAATCAACAAAAGGGCTTCTGAAAGATTTCAGACTATCTAGTCTTTGCTCATGAATTCTGTTTAAAACAAGAAAGTTGAGCCAAAAGAAGCAGAAGAATGAGGAGGGGGGTAGGAGGAGGCGGGAGAGGAGGAGGAGGAGGAAGTCAGGAAGGGATGGATAGGTAGGGTGAGAGAGGGAGAAGAAAGAAAAAAGAAAAGAAAAAGAAAGAAAGAAAAGAAAGAAAGAGAGAAGAAAGGAGGGAAGGAAGGAAAGTAAGGAAGGAAGGGGAATGAAGGAAGGAAATGAAGGAAAAGAAAGAAGGAAAGACAGAAAGATGGATTTGACTCTGACAGGAAGATTAAAGAAGTATACGCAGTATGAATTGATTAGAAGAAATTCAAGTGTCTATAATAGGTGAAGGATATAAAATCAAGGATAAGAGGAATTCTGCTATCAGAAGAGAAGGAAATATTAAAGGGTAGTTGCATAACTTGTGTCAGTAAAGGATGACCTGGTGAACCAATTCAGCTGGGTGGGGTGGTCACTATGATAGTATTTCTATAGACAGACCTTTCAGGGACAAAAGCAGACCCCCCTGCCCCCGCCACTAATTGCCCTTTCCTGACATGGAAATATGGGGAAAGTTTATGTTACCGCCAGTCCATTGGGTTACTTACCTTCTGAGAATAGTGTGACCCTAGTGACAGTATATCGCTCACAAAAGCCTTAATGTTGGCCAAACTGTCATACCACTGCTAACCTCCATCTGATTTCCACCCCCAGAGCACCTCTGAAAGGAAGAGGAGTTCCAAGAAAGTGAGGCAGGGAAGCAGTGGTATGCCTTCTTCCTACTGAGGTAACTACTGATTATAATGAAATAACCTCATTGTTAGATTTGTCTCTCTAATTTTTTTAAATAAACACTACTGGAATTTTTTTTTAACTGTATGACAAAACATATTTATTCAGCAATACTAAGTTGCATTAACTTGGAATGTTGTTTACTTTATTGTTTTTAAAAGAGATCCTTTTAAAAGGTACCCACTGTAAATATTTAATATGCATACAGTATGTAAAGTCTAGTGAAAAGAGGAAACTGTGATCTTGAATTTGGAGTCAGGCAGAGGGCTGCTGCAATATTCCTGTGAATCAGTGTCAAGACAGAAAGCCACACTTCGGCAGCTTTTCCTCAGATTCCTTCTCATGGAGACAATGCCCTTTTAACTATAAAGAAGTGGAAATTCATGTTAAGCTTTTCAACACAATTATTGAAACCTGTAGGTGATACTCCTGGCCTAACTCTGGTTTATAAATTTTGGTTTTATCTTTTTAAGAGCATTTCCTGCTGAGTGTATAGCCTACCAAATAAAAAGTATGTTCATTTTTATGGCACATTTGAATGTTTTCTATTCCTTTCCTCTTCCTTTTGCTCCTCTCGGATAGGTTTGACGTGGTTCCATGTAAAAAATGGGTCAAAATCATGAAGGTCTTTAATTCTTACTGATTTTTTCCATTCCTTAACAACTATAATCAGAGTCAATTTAAACAAATTTTTAAGCTAGGTTGCTTTTTTCTTTCTTCTGAAATATGAAAATCTCCATCCTTACTTAGAGAATTTTCATCGGAGGTACTCCTCTCACGTATTGTACATTATTTCTTTTTATGAAATTTGGAAAACAGCAAAAAAGTCACTGACAACAATAAACCTAAAGATACAAAAAACACAAAATCTTCAAGCATAATTAAGATAAAATTAGACGAGTAAGAAGGTAACATCAAAACAGAAAAGCAGTTTCTACATGAGGCCAAAAAATATTTTTAAAAATAATTAAATACAAAATAATGAAATGAGAAGGGAAGTAAAAAAATATAAAACACATTTGTAAGAAATCAATACAGTTAGTGAATAATAACTCTTAAAAGAGATGTATGCCAGAAGAGGCAGAAATTATAACAGTAGTTCTTTGTGATACCCTATTTCTACGTGTTTTCTGTAAGAATGAGGCTTTAATTATCAAAGGAATGTTTAAAATGAATTACTACATACATGTATTACCTAAAACAGTCTATTGTGAATACCATATATCAATCATTTTATACCTTTGAAGAGTATACTTTGACATCCTCAAAGTGATCAAGAAGAATCAAATTCAAACCCCAGGGTATAAACAGTAAAAAGGAAAGGTCAGGTTGAATTTTTTTTCCCGTGTTTGTAATGGTGAGAGTGGGTTTAATTCTTGATTGAACAAAGTGAGCCTTTATTTTGATAGTTTCTCTTCTTTAGAAAATTGGATGAAAACAGCTGACTTATAGCAGGCGAGAGAATTTCTTGCTGTAAGGAACACACATAATGCTTAATCAAATTTCTCATGGCTTAAGAAGTGCCACAGAATTCTATACAGATAGGGTAGAATGCCAACTGGCTTGGGCACAAAGCTCCTAGCTTTGTTGAAAACATCCACACGCAGTGAAAATATGACATTTCTTTCAATATCTTCCTCTCTCTTTTTCAGTATACTGCAAACATTTTGATTATGGGTTTCACCCCATGGGCTGCCCAATTTACTAATAACATTACAAATACTGTAGTTCTAAATTCCTTGGCTTGTTTTAACTGGCATAACCTGTTTACTCTTCTTCCAAGAAATATTTTATGTCTAACTTTCTTCAAATTCTGATGCATACTGATAACAAAAGGATCTCTAGTACTTTTTGTGTTTCAGATTAGAAAAGAAAAAAAAAGATATTCACACATCATGTATAGTCCAAAATAAGCAAAACTGAAATGCTTCAAGCATCTGGTTTGCTGTAGCTTTCAAAGTGCTCAGCCTTTAAAGGAGACTCCTTTTAAAAGGACCTTAACAATAGAATAAATTAAAGGAATAAAGATTTCTATTATGAGAAAATAAACAACTTTTTAAAAGCATTTACTTTCTTTTGGTTACCATGTACAGTAATTTTTTTTCCCATTCTTATTTAGAAACTAGTGACTAGAAAGTTCTTATTTCAGGTAACTGCAATACTATTTTCTTGGTTAATTAAAACGGTACTCTAGATTAAAAATTGATGATGACATGGTTTGTTAATCTTACACTATGTTTAGCTTTCAACTGAAAAATAATATGCCATTAGTCTTCATTATTACATGGCCCAGAAATAGTAACACAGGTATTTTTTTCCTTTTTTTCAATTTCCAAAATATGTTTCTGTTTTAATTATGAAGCACTTATAAAATTATTTCTTTCATCATATAAAGAAAAAGTTGCAACATCAAATTCAAGATTTAGAGATTTGTCAATTTTTGCAACAAAATATTGAAATAATTGAAATCTAATTGTGTAGATGAAATAAAAATATATAAATGTGTGTTGAGATCCCTTATATGTTTGTTTTTTTTTTAAGCTAATTGCTGCCTTGGTAATTATAGGTACTTCAGATTTAGTTGTTGATCACACTGTTTTTTGTTTCGATTTGTTTCGTTTTTTTTTTTTTCTTTGAGACAGAGTCTTACTCTGTCGCCAGGCTGGAGGTATGCGATCTCAGCTCACTGCAACTTCTGCCTCCTGGGTTCAAGTGATTCTCCCGCCTCAGCCTCCCGAGTAGGTAGGATTACAGGCACGCACCACCACATCCAGCTAATTTTTGTATTTTTAGTAGAGCCAGGGTTTCACCATGTTGGCCAGGATGGTCTCTAACTCCTGACCTCCTGATCTGCCCACCTTGGCCGTGCCTGGCCCACATTGGTTTTTTAAAGGGTTGTGTAACTATGCTGTGATAAGGCATTCCTTTAAGAAGAAAATTATAAAATTTTTAACTTCTAAATATCCTATACATGAATTAGCATCATTAATCACAAAACAAAGATATATTAAATTTCAGTGCTATAATAAAGGTGCTCCTTGTTTATAATTTTCCATTATTCAGAAAAATTTTATGTTACTAGCTTACAAATACCTTGGTAGGAATTTACTTTTGAGCTGGGTATGGTGGCACACACCTGTAGTCCCAGCTACATGGGAGGCTGAGGTAAGAGGATTGCTTGAGCCCAGGAGTTCAAGGTTGCAGTGAGCTATGATAGTATCTCTGCACTCCAGCTGGGGCAACAGAGAAAACCCTATCTAAGAAAAAAAGAAGTTATCTTTGTATCTACCGTAACACATAGACACACAACCTTGTATATAGTGGGTGCTCCATAAGTAACTGTTCTTTGAAAAAATGTAAACCCAGTATCATTTCATGTAAAATGATTTCATGCAAACTTTCCTGTTTGCTTCCCAGAAACAAACAAACAAACAAACAAAAAACAGAAAACATTGTATTGAATAGGTCTGCCTCTGTCTGACCTTATTTCAACCCTGAGTACTTTGTCAGCCTTCAACACAGATTTTTCTCCAACTTCAGTGTTTGTTTGCTAATTAATTCTTTCACATTTGGTGTTTCATTTATTTATGCTAATATACATATTCTCTATTCCTCCTAAGAGACCATTATGCAGATAGGATGATTATCTGATTTATATCAATGATCTAAGGACCAATATCTTTTATTTTCCTCCACTTTAATAGCTCTGGAAAAAAATTTAAAAAGTACCCTCCAGATGTAATAAAGGCAAAATTACATATCTATACCTTTTTCCCCTTAATATCTGATTTTTTTCAGAAATGAGCAAGTGGTTTCAAATGTAGAATAACAAAATTATCTTTTTAAAATATAACAGTCTTCATTCTAAAGGACTCTAGAATTCTAGACTCTAAAATGCACACACATCCAGAATTAAAATTCTATGGTTATGAAAAAGAACTCCAGCATATCCCCACCAACTGCATTTTACAGTACTCTTTGTACCAAAGAAACACGAATTATTGAGAATAACAGTTGGAATGGACCCCGCCTATTCTTGCTTTGACAGTAAGAACAATAACAGTAGCACCTTCATTTTTAAGGAAGTATGAAAGAGTTTTTCCATCAATGTCCATTTTGTTTTTCGTCTATAGAAAAACTGTTTCCATGGAGATTACTGCTTACCTTCTCTCTACTAGTATTTGGCTGAGGTGATTGGCAAGTGCAACGTGTGCTAACAAAAGACATGGAGGTTCAAAGACCTGCCATGTGCATAAAACCCCCTGAAACCTAAGAAGGTAAGGATGGTTGAGTCAGTCAACCATCCTTATCTTCTTAATTAGCTACCCCCTAAAAACAGAACTTTAATAGTTACACACCCGTTTGCCAGCAAGCTGATCTGGTAAAAGCCAATGAGACAGAAAAGGCATTCAGAAGGGGATACACCCATGTCTACGTCCCTCCTCACTCTCTGACTCACTGCTACCTTGGGTATGCCATTAACAATTCTGGGCATCAGGTTGTTCAAATGAAACTTCTAACCAAGGTATTTGCTGACCACCTACCTCACAGAAGTATTGCGAGTCTCAGCTATTAAGCTATTATAAAGCAATCTAAGCACATGAAGTGCTACATAAGCACTAATGGTACTGAGTCAGTGAGGAAAGGGAGCACGCTGTACATTGAATCACCTGCATTGTTTCCTTCTTTCAGTCCTTTGTGGTAATTTCCTAAACAACAAAAAATGTGCCCTTCTAGGATGACTGGGTCTAAGCTTGCTCCTGGAAGGTAACTAAGATGATTGAATTGAAAAGTCACAAAGCTATGGGCCATATTATATTTTCAATTTGGGAAAATAGGTATTTTTGAATTAATAAACTTCATTATTATTATTATTTTTATTATTGAGACAGGGTCTCACTCTGTTGCTCAGGTTGGAATGCAATGGTGTGATTGCCACTGGGACTCCAGGTGTGTACCTGCACACCCTTGCTTATTTTTAAACTGTTTGTAGAGACAGGTCACACTGTATTGCATTGGCTTATCTCAAACTCTTGGGCTCAATCGATCCTCCTGCCTCAGCCTCACAAAGTGCTGGAATTACAGGTGTGAGCCACCATACTCAGCCAATAGACTTTTCAAAGAGTAGCTTTAGGTTTACAGAAAAATCCATCAGGAAGTACAAAAAGTTCTTGTACACACACCCTCCACCCCCACTACTCCCCAAACACAGTTTCCCCTATCATCTTGTATTAGTGTGGTACATTTGTTACAATTGATGGTGTTTAGGACGGGCAACCCCAAAATACAGCATGTTGGCATTTGAGAAAACAGCAGAAGCAGGAAGGTCACTTTTACCCTCCCCTCATCTCTCCCGCCGGAAGCAGGTCAGAAAATCTAGGAAAGTCACTCTCTGACTTTCTCCCGCTCTTCTACCTTCTACCCTGAAGCAGGTCATAAGACCTTCAGGCGAAGGGTGCTCTCTCTAATACCAGAAGAAAAGAACATCCTTATCTCTGATGACCCAGGGATGCAGAGAAAAATATGAACAAACAGACCTTGCTAAGTTCCCCCCAGTTTATTACCATTAGAGCATACCTCCTTTGTCCAATCATACTTTTCCACAACCATCCACCTTGTCTCAAACCTAAGCATAAAAATGCACATTTGCCTGTTCTTTTGGGTCTTCATTTCTGAAGTCTCTTTTATGTAAAACTTAAATAAATATGTATGCTTTTTTCTTGTTAATCTGTCTTTTGTTATAGGTGTCTCAGCCATGAAAAGACTAGAATAAAAATGCTTATTATCCTAATTATCCAGAAAAGAAACAACAAACAGATAGAAATTTATGATGAAAGAATATTCTTCTGGGGAGCAAAAATTATTTCCAGCAAATAAGACAGGAAAAGCCCATAAAACTCTTGTCTGCAAGTGGTGGATGAAAGCCTGAGGTCAAACTGGGGGTGGAAATTTGAAAGACTGGGTCAGAGAAAAAGAAATTTTAAATGAACACTAGAGGAGGGGAATTTTGACAGTAATTAGTATCTTTCAAAAACAAGAGCTTGCAAATGTTTGAACTGTAATTCCATGAAGTCAAAAGGAATCTTTGAGAAAAGAAATGTTCAACCAGCATACTGACTTTCTCATTTGATTAACATTTTTGTTGTACAGAATCACCTAAATCTGCCCAGGGAAAGCCCTTTACATATTTCCCTCCATTAATTATCAGCTTGTGATTTATTGTAACTACCAGTGAAATATGCAGCATTGTGAATGAATAAAAAAGCATTTTTTGCGAGAGTTCTCATTTCTTAATGGGCCCCAGCAAGGAGCTTGCTTTTTTTAAAATAAAAAACAAACTTGAAGGCCCTAATAATGAGATCACATAATAGAAAATAAATATATAAAATACCAGGCTTCACTGAATCTTAAGAAGTCATCAAGTCAGGTCGGGCATGATGGCGTGCACTTATAATCCCAGCACTTTGGAAAGTTGAGGCAGGAGCAGGAGCATTGCCTGAGGCCAGGAGTTCAAGAATGCAGTGAGCTATAATCAAGATTGTCTCCATCTAAAAAAGAGGAAGAAGAAGAAGAAAGAAGAAGAAGAAGTCATCGACTATAAAAAGCTTGCTATCTTATTTATCACTAAAGAGAAAAGTTTTCCAGTTAAAATTTTAAAGAGTATCTTAATTTAGAAAAATTTAAAATATGAAAAAATGTGCTTAGAACTGATGAAATACAGTTTATGGTATAATCTGGAGGAAGAAATACTTGATTCTTTCAGACTTCATTTAGAAATGTACTAAATTGCAGGTGACCTGTTAAATCTTACAATATATAATATTTTCACATATAATCTCCATTAGAGAGGCTTTATTTCTTGCTATTATGTTTTGTTCCAAAAGATAGAAGTTATTTATCAAAAAAATCACCAAGTTGTCTCAATTTTAACCATCTAATTTTGAGATGCTCTTCTTATCAAAAAATTTTTGTATTTTGAATCAGTGTCAGATTGACTTGATTTTTAAGAAGTTACTTGAACTCACTAAGCCTCAATTTCCTGAACTGTAAAAAGTGTATTATAATAGTAATATAATTTTAAGGGATTGTTATGAGAGACAAAAGAGTCATAAGCATTGAATAAATATCAGCTGTCAGTTATCATTTGGCATACAAGAATCAGACTAATTTGAATTATATTTTGAGTCTACCATTTTCTAGTCATAATAATTTGGGCAAATCAAATATCCTCTCTGCCTCATAAATGGTCATAGTGACACTTGTCTTTCAGGTTCTCAGGAGGGTTCAATGAGCTGATAAAATATATCAACTTCCCTATATTATGCCAGCCATATTACGCTGATTAACAAAAAATTTCACAGTAGAAGATGACATTCATTGAGCATTTATTTGCTCAAACTCTTTGACTCCTGTGCTCTTTGACTCATTTAACCTATACGATAATCCTAGGAGGTAGCTACAATTATTATTTCTATTTTACAGATGAGGAAACTGAGGCACAGAGTAGCTAAGTAGTGGTCACAAAGCTTTGGCAGAACTGCTCATTGAGCCCAGGCAGCATGGCCCCAGAATGGCACACAGCTCAAGCCACTTCTTTATTTGCCTTAACTTCACCACTAGGAAGAACACAAGGCAGCCTTATAAAATGAACAAGGCCTTCTGCTAGGCCAAAACATTGGGGGAATAATAATCAAGATATGACTGGTCACCGCAGATATGCTTTCCAGTGGGAGGCAAAGGCAGGACGTAGGACGCGCCGTTAGAGATGGGGGTTGCTCACAGCTCTAGTACTTGGCACGCAGCTAAGGTTGAGTCATTGACAACTTCCTGCACAGCCACATAAGCTGAGGAATAACATGGAAGGTATTTAACAATCTGTATGAACACGTAAACCCTGTGAAATAATGAGCAATCCGTCACTATGTTAACAAAAAGAGAAATAGTTCTAAGCACATTTGAACATTTGTGAAGACAACCATGTTCCAGGATGAAAGGAATGTAATACTTACACTTGGAAATATGTAATAGACAAGTCAAATGAAGTTCAAGGGCAAAACAGATTGACTGAAATGATGTAGGGAAAGGAGAAAATTGAACTGTACGGGCCTCAGAAAATGAGAAGAGAGCTGGTAAGAATGGAGAAAGTATGAAAACTGAAAAACCACTTCAGCTCATGAACTCATCTCCCCCAGTACTTGTAGTGTAGAGTTTTAAGACTTAATTTTTCTTTGTTTCAAGTGTGTTTATGTGGATTCCTAAGTAAGATTGTAAACTCTGCTGACTGATGTGGTGCAGTGGAAAATTCTCTAATTCAGGCCCAGAAGAGAGGAGTCTAAAACCTGGTCGGCCTCCCCAGCCAAATGACCACAGACAAACCATTTACTCAATGTTTCAGTTTCTTCATTAGTGAAATAAAAATATCTACTCAAAATAAGAATGTGTGTGGAAGAAACTTATAAAATATGTCCTGCTATGTAAATATAAGGTATTCAGAGGTGGGTGGAGAAACAGAACAAGAGACTGGAAGAAAAAAAACCTGTAGATCAAAAGATCGAGATGAAGACTTTGCCACTTACTTGCTTCATGACATTGGGCAGAATACAGTGATGCACTTAACCTCTGTGAACTTTAAGATTCCTTATCTACAAAATAGGTTAATAGTACTAACGACTCCAGTGGATTTATGTGCAAGTCACCTCAATTCTGTAAGGTAAGGAGTATCACTCCCTATTTTATAGATAAGGAAACTATGGTATAAGATTTTTTTTCTGTTTGTTATAATGATTCCCATAAAACCTGTAACAGTTCTCTACATGCAACAAAAATAAGTACTTGTTGATTGGTCACTTTATGTACATAGGTATCTTAATGGAAGAGACTATTTATCAAATAGAGAATCTCTTATCCAGCCATGAAGTAGGTGCACACTGTAAGATGCCTTCCTGGGGTGGTTGGCACAGATGATCTCTCAATGTTCCTTTCAGTTATATAATTCTGGGATGTCAAATTGAAACTGAACAAAGAACATAACTGGCAAAAATGAAATTACTGCTTTTCTGGAGACAGTGCTATTTGTCTGAAAATGGTAAAATGTAGATGGGAAGGAGGAAATAACAGGTCTGTGATTCATGATACTAAAAGCTAAGAAAAGGTGGGTTTTCCTTGTGGCTATAAAACAAACAAAAAAGCATATAAACCCAGTGTTTAAATGTTAATTTGCTACAGTACATCAAATGTTTATAGCAAGAATTTGATGGAAGCATCCTATTGAAAAAAACAAATTCTTTCCTATGTCAATGTGCTTATAAAGAGGATACCCAACTGTCTCCAGCAATGCATATTTATGTCTCTGCAGAGAATAACCTGACCTTATTTGCTGCAGTGACCATGAAACAGTGCTTCCATAATGGTAATATGAAATATTTCAGAAGAACAGAAAACCTTGTGGTTTCTTAGATAAAAGAAAATACTACCCTATCTTGCATTTCTCACATTTGCTGCTATGTACTTGGTTTATCTATTAGCCAGTGTACCCAGGGTATTCTGTAACCGGCCTTCAGACTTACTCAATTCTCCACATTTTAAAGCAGAAATTGGAAAGTGAAAAATGGTTCACACATTATCTCATATGTTACAGATTTTAGAGACATTTTGGCAAACAAATTAACTAGGCTTGATTATTCTTCTGAAATAGCGTCCAGGCACAGGACACGTATCTCCTCAACCTTTCTTTCTCTAAACGCACTTTTATCCACTTCAAAGTCATTTTATACTGCAGCGTAAGTCAGAAAGGAAAAAAGAACTCACAAAATGTCATAGTATTCCATTTTACAAGCTGTAATAACTAGGCTGTTCTGTAAAATGTCTGGTCAGGAAAAAGGCTGAAACTACTAACTAAAGTGAGGGCTGAGCTTCTTTTGAGAATTAGAATTCCTTGTGCTTTTCCAAGTCCTAGATGACATAGATAACGGAAAATTAATTTTAATTCTAATGATATGCTTAAATTGGCAAAGATCGGTAGTCATTATGGACTGGTTTTTGTTCATGACTTAATTTTGCCATTCTAAACCTCTGAGCAGGATTTAAAATACTTAATACAGCACTCCCCAGGCTCTGGTGTTTACCTTACTTCAAAAATCCATTTTTCATGATTTCACTTTTCTTCCACAGACAGAAGTTAAGTAAGAGGCTTTGGGTCAAGACTGTGACTGGATTCAAATCCTAAAGTTTTCGCTACACTGTGTGCTGTGGGTAAGTTATTAATCCCCTCTGTAAAATGGAGATGATATATCACAAGGCTGTTGCCTTATGAGTAAGTGAGGATTAAATGAGATAGTATACGTAAAGTGCTCTAAACAGTGTTCAGAAGAATTTTAGCTTTTAATAAATGTTAGCTCTTACTTTTCCATCCAGATGAAAGTATATGAATATTTAGATATTTTTCTAGTCAATGCCAAATACTTTTGTGCTTTCTTATTTCTGAGTTATAATAAAAGTTGGCCTGTTACAACTATGTAAAATTTCCCAAAGGAAATATGTGAAATTATACATGCAAAATAAAAATGCTTTAATTGCTGGGGTTTTTTTTATTCTAAAGTTTTTTGTAACTCTATAAAGCATGCCTTCAAAACTCATAAATAGGAGAGTTTGGAGTTGATTTTGTCAGTGGTGAGGAGGAAAGACATTTAGAACAAAATAGAATTTTTGACTTGAAAAGGACTTTAGGTATGTAACTGTAACATTGATGCTATCACCTACTAGCTTTCAGAACTTGAGCAAGTTACTGAACTCTTTGCGCCTTAGTTAATGGTGATATTATTAGCACCAAACACATGATGCCACTATAAAGATTAAATGAGTTAATGCATTTAAGTGTAGAACAGTGCCTGACATCTCTAACGAGTTCTCATTAAATGTTAGCAACTATTATTAATTCATTATTGTTATTTTACAAATGACAATATCAACGTCAAGGAAGGAAGTTCGTTTCCCAAGGTCATATTTTAGATTTAATGGTAAGGAGCAGGATCCAGGGCTTCTGACTCTCAGTCTACTGCTCTTTCCACTCTAACACCAATTTCTTCTTCATCTTGGCCTTGCCTCTAGATTTGCTTCAGTTCTTTAACCCTGGATATGAGTTTGTTTTATTCATCAATGGCCTGGATAGTGAAGATGTGAGGTCTAGTCATTGGTCTTTATGGTTGGTAGTGTAGAAAGATTAACTTTTGACAGTGAAAGGGTTAAGTTTTATGTGAGATAGAACCTGAAATTTGTGTTCAGTTACTATCTATGGCCTTTTCTCTGCTTAATAATTAGATACTAAAAAATCTGCAACAAAGAGATGAAGATTAAGAAAAATTGTCAAGAAGGAAGGAAAATTGTACCTACCCCTCGAAGAATTCATGAGGTGCTTGAGCAGACTACTTTGACCTCTTCTCAAACCTGCTAAGTGTGGACACACAATAAAAGCACTTTTGGTGCAGATAAACTGGAGAAGGGGCCTGTTTGTATAGTTTTCTTTGAGGAAATATTCCCTGCAGGAAGTATGCAGCAAAGAGAAAGGCTCATATGACAGAATATGTTAAAGCACATTTTCTTTTTATCTCTTTGCACATCCCCACTTTGCCACCCACTTTAGCCCCTACCTACTCAATCTCCTATGTCACAATTCCAGGTGCACTCATCAGCATGCAAAAATCACATATGAGGTGGATATATTTTCAGATGAAGATGGATAAATCAAATCTGCAAATGGATAATGACATGGGCAAGTCATCAATTTACACTTGTAAACAACTTTTCAGCTAGACCTTGGGAACAAGGAACATGATATTCTGTCTACAAACTCATGTGGCTTTCTTATTTGAAAGTTTTTTGAAAGATTTTTGGTTTTGTTTTGAGGAAATTTTCTGAATCTATTTTGAATGTTAGAATTTGGGCATTTGCTAAAAGGAAGTTGCTTGAGCTTGGATGTTTGTGCTAAGATTTCTTTAGGGACAGCTTCTCCAACTTTTTCACCAAAGTCGTCCTAACCACAGCTGAGAGGGAATACCAAGGAATGGGGACAGAACCTGAAAAGGTCAGCCAGAAGCAGCATTTTTGTTTTCATGTTTCATGTATGTATAGCACAGGAGTTAAGAACCTCTTGAAGAAAAATCATCTGATCTTGAATTCCTGTTCCACTGCTTACTAGCTGGGTGACCTTGAACAAATAGTCTTTCCCCTACTTCAAATATTTTATCTGTTAAGTGGTGATGATCATAGTACCCTCTTCATAGGGCTCTTGTGAGGGTGGATTGAATGAGTTAATTCATGTGCAGTACTCACAACAGGATCTAGCATATAGTGAGCATGCAGTAAACGCTAGCTCTGATTATGTTGAAGATAATCACTTGCGTTCTTGCTGTGATATACTCTGATTTGTTTAAAATAAAAATAAAGGATCTCTACTCCCCCCAAATCATCAAGTAATTTATCCATTTATTCAGGAAGAATATATTAAGGGCATATTGAGGACCTACACTGTGGTAGGCATTGTGAGAGACACAAAGATAAGTAAAACATACAGTCAGTGCTCAGAGAACTTAAGGTTTTTGAAAGGAAATGCATGAAGTTGAGAATGGTCTCAGTAACAAAACTAAATATTTACTGATCAAGTACATGTATGAAGATTTATGTAAATTAGCTAGGTTCTAAACAATCTTGCAAGGTTGATGTTATTTTCACCCTTCAACAGCTGTAGAAACAGAGGTCCAGGAGGGTCAGGTAACATAAAAGAGCAGGGATTTGAACCCACATCTGTCTGAATTCACAGTCCATGACTTTTCTGCTTCACCTCCATAATTTCAATCTGTTAAATTTGTGGTCTTGGTGTGGAAGCTGGAAGCTCCAGATAATGACTGGTAACCAAGGAGGGGCAGAAATGTGAAAAACTGTGTAGGAATGTTTAGAAAATAAGAGGAAAAAAGATATCAAAGAAAACACAGATAATTGGATCCAGACTGGAGAGCCTAGGCCTGGGCAAGGACAATGGGGAGAAATGGGTGTCTTCTCTTGTGCCAGCTCTGCTTGGGGGTTGCTGCTGGGAACCCTAGGTAGAGCAGCCATATTGGTCACCAGGACCCAATGGGAAAGGGCTTTGTCCTATCAGCAATGTCTTCTGCAGGCACAGAAGAGGGGAGTGGTGGCGCGGTATCTGCAAGCCCCAGCCTAGGGTAAACAGTGAGCCAGAAAAGCAATTAAAGCAGAAACAGATGAGGATAATTAGAAGGGACAGCTCTGAAGGGTAGGAGGAGGCAGTGAAACTAAAACAGAGAATTTTAGCTATTTCTGTCAATCCCTTGATGTCTGGAAAAACATTCTTTTTGGTCCAGACTATGGTACCACACCCTAAATAAGACCGAAACCATTCTCAGCACTGTACCCCTAGTTTGGATTCAATGGCATCTCCTGGATTCTGCTAGCAAAGTGGCCTGAACAGGACACAGGCCTATGGATATCTCCATTTGGATGTCCTGCAGGAACCTCAAACTCGACTTCATCACAATTGAATTCATCATCTTTCTTATAAAAGCCTGCTCCTTTCTCAGTGTTTGCCATCACAATTTAACAGTCCCAAATCCATTCAGTCATCTAAATTAGAAATGAGCTCTTAGTTTTTAATGATAAAATGCTTCCCTCAAGCTTTCTGTTTCTGTTCTGTACTACTCATTCCATTCGCTATTCAAATTGTCAAATGAGTCAATTCTTTGAAGGAAGGTATGTCATTGTCATTATGGAGAAAAAGGACATTGTTGTCCCTTAGAGTCCCAAAGAAAGCCCAGGGAAGCCTTTGAAGCCAGTCTTAGGGTTGTCAAGATTAGCTCCCATCACCCTAGAGCAATCTAGGAAGAAACACTGGAAAAGAGAGTCATAAAAATTGAAGGCATCCAAAAAGTAGAATGGAAAGGAACTGAAAAAACCTTTTTCTACTTTGTTATTCTGCTTGGAGAAGTTCCTTTTAAGGAAATGTGCATAGAGCTTTTGAACACTGGCTAGAGAAAGGTGAAGACTGAAAAAGCAAATTGGATAAGTCACTTTCTTCTTTCATTCTTCTATCTCTATTACTTCTTTAAACTTTTAGATGTGTATCTTCATTAGACATGACAGAAGTGATAATTGCATAATTTGACTTTTCATCAAAGCCCTTATAAAATTCGGTTTTACTGATGTAGTCCCAAAGCCTCAGTGCAATATTTATATTATGAAAGCACTGACATCATTTTATATAATTTAGTGTTCTTGGCATACTCAGTTCAGAAGAGACCAAAACCAAAGGTGCTGCAGGTCAGTACTGAGGTACATTGGCAGGGCTGTCTGTGGGAAGCTTCTGGATGTCTGATTGGGCTTAGATTAAAGGTGCTATGAATTTCTAAATCACATTTCCCCTAAGTTTCCTGGAGTTTTTAAAGGATGAACAATTCACAGGTCAAAATAAGGGACTTCTGTGATGTAAGCTGATAAATGTGTTGCTCTTTTGAACTGTGTTTGTTTACTGAATTTTTTTTTAACTTGCCATGCTACCTGGGGCAAATTATGCAAGCCACTTGAGCTTTAGTTTCCTCATATGTACAGTAGGGGTAATAATACTGCTTAATTTATTGGATTTTTTGAGAATTAAATAATTGTGGCATGTAGTAAGTGCTCAAATAATGTTAGTTGACTGATAATAATTATAGTAATAATACTACCAATGCACTATTAATTTTGAGACAAAGGAATTAACCCCTAGAAACTTTGTCTACTTCTATTACAGGGAAGAATAGTGAAAGAATATCTGCAAAATAACTTCACAGAAAAAGTTTGGATTTCACCTTGTCCTTCTTCACCCCACTTCTTCTATTCCTATTAAATCAAAGTACAGTAGGAACATAATCTAAGAAGTGAAATAGTGTAATGGGAATGATAATAAAAAACAGCAGCTACCTAGATTATCTTCTCTCCACCCAAATCCTGCTCCCTAAAGTCAATCTTTCAACTCTTGATTTCTTCTGACATTCTAAATCAAATAGTGACATGTTTTCTTTCTTTCCTTGTATTTCAATATTAGAATTTATCCTTGACTTCTGAGTATAGGAGATAAGAATGCTGCTATTTCTTTTACACACACACACACACACACACACACACACACACACACACACACATTCCTTCCTCATTCTAGAAGATTTACATTATGTTCAATGTCTATATTTTTCTATTTTGTTAACTACGAAACCATATGAAGAGCTATGATTACATTTTTTTTCTTGCTTACTTTTTTGGTTTTCCTTAGTGGTAACACATTGTCTTAGTGCATTTGGGCTACTCTAACAGAATGCCTTAGACTGGGGGCTCATAAACAATGAACATTTATTCCTTACAATTCTGGAGGCTGGAAGTCCAAGATCAGGGAGCTGGAAAATTTAGTGTCTTGTGAGGGTCATCTTCTGGGTTGCGGACTGCCATCTTCTCATTCGATCCTCACTTTCTCTACATTGTATCCTCACATTGCAGAGAGAGGGTGAGAATGCTCTCTGGGGTCCTTTCTGTAAGGGCACCGTCCCATCATGAGGGCTCTGTCCTCAGAACCTAATTACTCCTCAAAGGCACTACCTCATAATACCATCACATTGGGCATTAAGATTTCAACAAATTAATTTTAGGGGGACACAAACATTCAATTCATAACACACATACATGTGTTCTATTTTGACTTCTTTGTTTTCTATGTACTTATTATTAGTGTATACTCAAATTCTCTATCTGATTTATCTATAAAACTGCTGTCAATACAATCCAATATTGTCTCCTATCCTGCATTTTTTGTCCTTACAAGCTTTTATGCTTTAACTGTAATTTTTGTGAGGCTTGGTAGGGCATGTAGATAAATGCAAGAGTTCAATCCACCATATCTGACCAGAAATCCTAATCTGCTTATTTTAATTAATCTTTTAAACAGTGGATCTTAAGAATGGAAGGATCTACTTTGAAAGCCAGAACATGGATAACTACAACCATTCTAAATAAAATGGGATTTTCCTTTCTGTGACTCCCTGTGGATCTTCACAGATAAAATAAAGAGAATATATTTCTAGAGCATCCCACAGTCCAGTGGTTCTTGCGTGGGGTGGGAGCCACCTCCAAGGGGGCATTTGGAAAGGTGTGAAGACTATAGTTTTCATTCTGACTGAATCCCCTTCTCTTTGTGCCAAGCCATGATAGGAAGAATTATACCATCCCAAAATTCAATAGCATGACCACTGAGAAATAGCACCAACCCTTCCCTCAAGAGGGAACCCAGGAATCTTAAGATCCTCCATCATTTGGGGATGTGAGCGAGCTTAGGTGCCTGAGTTTGGCTCTAAACATTCTGTTCCTTAGGTGTATTGAATTACACATGGAGGTAGTATCTTAGTCTGTTCAGGCTGCTATAACAAAATAGCATATACTGGGTAGCTTATAAACAACATAATTTTTTCCCCACAGTTCTGAGAAGGCTGGAAAGTCCAAGATCAAGTCTCTAGCAGATTAGGTATCTGGTGAGGGCCCATTTCCTGGCTCACATATAATGCCTTCTCACTGTGTCCTCACATGGTAGAAAAAGAAATGCAACTCTACAGGGCCCCTTATAATCCCATTCATGAGGGCTCTGAAGTCATGATGTGACCACCCTCAAAGGCCACACCTCCTAATGCAGTCATATTGGTGATTAGGTTTTCAACATACAAATTTTGGGGGGACACACACATTCAGCCTATGGCAGATAGCTGCAATGCTTGAGGTATAATGGGTTGTAAAATTACATGTATTTTTGAGTTTCAAGACTTCTGCAAACTATGAACTTTTTTTTTTTGAGACGGAGTCTCACTCTCACCCTGGGTGGAGTGCAGTGGTGTGATCTCGACTCACTGCTACCTACGTCTCTCAGGTTCAAGCGATACTCCTGCCTCAGCCTCCCGAATAGCTGGGATTACAGGTGCACACCATCACACCGAGCTAATTTTTGTATTTTTAGTAGAGATGAGGTTTCACCATGTTGGCCAAGCTGGTCTCGAACTCCTGACCTCAGGTGATCTGCCAGCCTTGGCCTCCCAAAGTGCTGGGATTACAGGCATGAGCCATCATGCCCAGCCCTATGGACTTCTTAAGAAAAAGCAAGTTGTTCTTGCATTCACCATAGCTGTGGACACATAGCAGCTTCTAAAGAAATATTTGTGGATAAAGTCGAGTTCTGATTTTGCCATTGGGATGATGGTTGTGGCACATTAACTTTGGCAAGTCAGACTTCTGCAAATTAGCTTTCTAGTGAAACATTTATATGGCACATATTGCTATTACTCACATGTATATAGTAATGAAACTTACTTCTTTCAAACTCTGTGAGGAATAATTGCTACATGAATACAAAGCACCATGAGAGTGTGAAGTATTATGTAAGAAGGAGATGAGGTAGGTCATCATTACATAATGCAGCTCTTCCTATCATGGCTTGGCTGTAACGTGGAAGGCCTTGGAGGCAAGCCGCAGTGTGCAGACAGTGTCATCAACACACATCAACTCTGAGAAATGAATACTCACCACTTATAATCATAGATACAGCTGATCCCACAGGAAACACCTAACCTGCAATCAATCTCCTCCTCACTGTGGTCTGGCAGGATGGGTGATACCTGTCTTCATGAATTTTTGTGTGGGGAATTCATTTTTATTTCAAAATCAAAATCACAAACCTCTGTTGACCAGCAGAAAACATGCTGATGTTCTATCATGCTGTCACTTGTTTTCCTAACAGCAATAGACCATCCATGGCCACTGCTCTTTGTTTCTATGACAGCATTTTTCATGCAAAACGTCATTTTCTTTCAAAGTAGTTTGAGAATCTGTATCATATTAATCTTCCAATCATCTTGTTAAGTGGTTCGTAAAAGTGGCTAGACTCTATGGGAAAGACAGGAAAGCCCAGGGTGTTAAATAATATGTTTACTTTATATTATGAAAATGTGAATAAATGAATGATTAGCAAACCCATGCTGAACATGAATAAAAAACATCACATTATTTGTATTATTAAAGTGCTCTCTATTTGCTATAATATAAGTACTTGCTTTGGTGTGTCAGTCTATCTATTTCAAAAATCCTTATCAAGAGTCTGCAATGTGTCAGACACTATAGAAAAGCAGTATGTAAATTATGCTGTATTTTAAATCACCTTTGAAATATACAGAGAGGTCTGCAATTGTGTGGATCATATGAAAATGGAATTTTTAAATTTTTATTTATTTTATTTTTATTCTAAAATAAAATAAATTTTTTTAAGAAAAAAATTCTTAAAAGATATATTGTGTGTGTAGAATTAATAGACCTTGCTTACGATTGACAACAAAACAAACAGGAAAAAAAATGTGCGAGAAAGAATAAAGTAAAATTCTATTTTTTAAATAGCATTAAACAAGAATAGTAAATGCAATAATGCCTGTTTATACTTTGTTGAATATTCAGAAACTAAGGTCAAAATACTGCAGAATAATGTTTGCTTAAAAAGGAAGTAAGAGTATTTAAACAAGTTCCAGCAGGATTAAAAATTTTAATGTATCTAAGAAGCAATAATATTAATGGAGGTAAATTGTTTTATAATTTTGAGTCAGAGAAGCTAACAATCATAAAGAAAAGGGTAAGTAAATAAATGGATAAGCATTATACATTTCTACAATCAAAAGAAAACCTATATAGACTAGTGGCAAACTGCACATAAGTTTCATATTTATCTAATATATGGCAATCATTAATATATCTAAGATATGAGAAGCATTTACAAATTAATAATAATAAGAAGATACCCCAATAGAAACATGAGCAAAGACCCTAAACAAGCAATTCACCAAAGAAGAGACCAAGAAATGACCAAGAAATGTATGAATGGCTATTCTTCTCTTGTAACTAATCAAAGAAATGGAAACTTGACATTCTTCACAGATTAGATTTGTAAAGGTGAAAATATTGAGCATTGATGCAGTGAGAAAATGAACGTGCTAATCGGTGGAGACAAATTGATAGTCTTTTTTTCAGACAGTAACCTGACAACAGATTCCAGATATTTTTAGATGCATTTCCCTTTGCCCATTCCATTACTAGGAATCCTGTTTAAGAACAAACATGTGCACTCAGAGGTAACAGATCACAAAATGGCATCATTGCAGTGATTCTTGAATGGAAAGGTGAAAAGGGTGTCAAGAGAGGATATATCATTCACCCGTCTATCCCCTCCTTCAAAAATTTGACTTGCTTTTGCGGAAGTCACATTAGAGTAAGGTAGGAAACCATGTGTACTTTGAGAAAGAATCCCAGGTGGCTCGGAATCACCACCCCCATCCTTTTTCTTCCCAGATTCTTCTCAGGTTGAGAATCATGGCTGTATTTTTTTTCCTTTTTCCAAAAATAATATATAAATATGAGCACAGAAAAAATGTCCAGAAACATGTTAATTGTAATTATCTTTGCAGGAAAAATATTTAGGATTTTATTTTTTGATTTTTTATTTGTTGGATTTTTTATTAATGAAAGCCCTAATTTTCACTTTTAATAATCAAATAAACAAGAAACTTGATATCCTTGAAAACTGCTATTGGAGAAGTCAGGTAACAGCAACCTATAGACAACCACAATCAAAACAAGCTAAAAAAAAGTCCCTAACAATGGATATATTTCGTACTAAACCATAATTACATGCTTCGACCCAAGAAGCTAGATAATCAAGTGCGTGGCATAAATAATCTGGAGAAGGAGTAAAAGTTAAGAATCAACAGCTGGAAAATAACAGCAAGGTGTCAAAAAACCTAAGTTTCTAAAATCATGAAGTATACTGACAGTCATAAAAAATGGGTGCATATCCATAAAAAATATTAAGCAGAAATTTAGAAAAAAAATGTATTTCTTTATATGATAGACAGAAATCTCACATTACCCCCAGAAGAGAATGGAGACAGCATATATAAATGGGTTAAAGAAAGAATTCTTGCATAATAAAATTAATACTAGATTATTAAGAGAAAATGAAGAATTCAGGAGTATGATTCTAAATATTTTAGTTGGACATTAGGAAATTCAACCACACATTTCCCTGTAAAACATCTTTTATTTTTCTTGCCAGAGACAAGAGACCCGAGTTGAATGAATCTGGGTCTAACCAAAATGGCAAGGCTTTTTTTTTCCATTATAAATTCCAAATTAATGGAATACAAAGTAATGATAGCCTACCACTTATTATTTCTGCTCAAAATTGGTAATTTAAGGATTTAAGTGGAAATATTAGTGGAATAATTTTTTATAGCTTTGCTAAGAAGATTCAAAAATAACACAAAAGTTAATGTTACTCAATTTTTTTTGTTGTTTTCTATGCATTTGGTGTTCAAGTGAGACTTGTGGTTTAACAGAATTTGGCTGTGCCTGTGCCTGGTTCTTCTGGTTTCTGGAATAGGTAAAGTCACCCCTCTCCCCAAATAAAAAGAGAAAAATTATTAGAAAAGAGATGAACAATTGCTGTGGACAAAAAGGGAAAAGGATTGGGGTTAAAACTAGAGTATGGCAAGTGAGGAATGAGACAACAGTTTAAAATATGTTTAAGAAAGATAGATTCTGGCCAGGCCTGTGGCTTATGGACGTTCTTTTATTTCAGCTTCCTATTCAAAGAAATATTCTGGCTTGTCACTGTTTTTACAATCTGACATCACATATTGTCCAAAGACAGAATTTTCTTAAATTAGATGGAAATTTCTTTTGCAAACTGATCTTAATCTGCACTTTTGATTGCTATTCTTCACCCCATTCTTATCCAAGAATTAGTAGAAATCTTCTTCCTGAAAAGTTATATCAGTCATTACAATTAACTAGGTATTGGATTGCTTAAATTCATAATTCTTTGCTCCGATAGTTCCCAGAATTATGACAAGTATTCTTTTGTTAATATGTTTCTTTCCTTGTTCCTTTTTTGCACGAGCACACAAATGCCTTTTCTGTTTAGAAGTTCACCCGATCTAGGCTCTGTTCCCCCACAATCTCCACCCCTGTTGAAGTCATAAGTTTCTGAATATGACCTCGTAGTCTAGACTTACTGCTGATGTGTGTATTGTCACGTACAGGATCTTATAAAGTCAGCGACGTGCATGTAGATGCAGGCCTGCTAGAGGATTTTGCAAGGTACATGGTGACGCACACGTCCATGTTTTGTTCACTGGGCAGGATTGACCCCACAGGCTGTTAAGATTGGTTACTATTTTCCAAATATTTCTAATGGAAGACTTAACAATGAAAAAGCCAGACCTAATTGCTCTTATTTCATCAGTTAGTAAGAACAGGCAAACGTTTCTCTTTTAAATTAGTTCAGATACTTGTCTTGAGTTAAGTAACCATTTCTTTCATTATGAAGGTGTTTGGTTTTTGAGCTGTTGCTTTGTCATGCAGTTCTGTGTTTCTCTGAAACTTAGTTTTTAAGAGATTTAAGAAAATGTTTTCATAATATTATATGCAATCCAAATGGCACGGGAAAGAAGTACCAAACACCTTCCTTCATTCAGCTATTCTCTGTCTCTAGTCATTTTCTCTATTCATTTGTTATTCATTCAACCAACATGCATTGAGCACATATTATGCACTAAGTATAATTAAACCACTGAAGTGAAGATGAATGAGACATGTTTGCTAGCCTTACAGGCCTCTAGGATTGATTGAGTCCCCCTCATGTTATAAACTACCACATAATGAGAAAAATGCTAATGGAGACATTGCACCTCCATGCTCATTTACGAGAATGATCATAAGAAGATGCACATAAGGGGTGATGTTTATGGAATCTTCAAAGACTGAGCAGGAATTTGCCAGGTGCACAAGAGGGGAAAACCTTTCAGGCAAATGCACCAGCCTGTCGAGCAACATTGAAATGTGAACTAGCATGGCATGTTTGCAAGAAGACAGTCGAGGCTGAACCTAGGTAGTGGTTCAGTAAGGCAGTAAGGCAAATCAGGGAGATAAAATTAATGGGGCGAGAAGGAGCCAAATCAGGAAGGGCTGTTTATGTTCATCAAGGAAAGGAGGTGATGTTTTTTCTTACGGGTGTTCTAAGTCACTGAAAGGTGTTAAACAGAGAAGAAACATAGTTTTGTGCTTTAAGTACCAGAAGCAAAAATGTAGGCTACAGATTCAAGAGGAAAAAAAGGTAGGAGAGCCTGCCAGCAATGAGAACTGGTAGGAGGCTACTGCAGCAGAACAGGCAGGAAATGATGAGGCTTGGAAGCGAGACAGAAGCAGTGGTGCTGGAGTGGATTCCATGTATATCCATAGAGTCGCTGAGACTGAATGACTGATTGGATACGTGAGTAAGGAAGAGGAAGTGATCCCGAAGTTTCTAACTTGGACACTAAGATATAATTAAATGAAAGGAAGTTGGACTGGAAAGATGATAAAAGAG
This sequence comes from Homo sapiens, assembly GCF_000001405.40. Lineage (NCBI taxonomy): Eukaryota > Metazoa > Chordata > Mammalia > Primates > Hominidae > Homo > Homo sapiens. The sequence goes on from NC_000012.12 coordinate 28,145,562, forward strand.
AATTTAATTTTGGATATGTTAAGTTTAAGGCATTTGTGATAGATTTAGCAGGATATCTATTAGGAGCCTAGCAAGTCTGAAGTTCAAGAGAGGGGTTTATACTGAAGATAAAAAGTTGAGAGTCATAAATACATGGTACTTGATATTATAGGAGTCGGTGAGATTACCCTGGGAGAGTGTATAGAAGAAAACAACAAGTGCAAGTCCCGGCACTTTGGGAGCTTGAAGCAGGAGGATCTCTGGAAGCCAGGAGTTCGAGACTAGTCTGGGTGAAATAGTGAGACCCTGTCTCTACAAAAAAAAAAAAAAAAAAAAATTAAGAAGCCAGGTGATATGGTTTGGCTGTGTTCCCACCCAAATCTCATCTTGAATTGTAGCTCCCATAATCCCCACATGTTGTGGTAGGACCTGGTGGGAGGTAATTGAATCATGGGGGCAGGTTTTTCCCATGCTGTTCTGGTGACAGTGAGTAAGTCTCATGAGATCTGATGGTTTTATATAGGGCAGTTCCCCTGCACACACTCTCTTGCCTGCAGCCATGTAAGTTGTGCCTTTGCTTCTCCTTCACCTTCCACCATGATTGTGAGGCCTCCCCAGCCATGTGGAATTGTGAGTCAATTAAACGTCTTTTTCTTTATAAATTACCCAGAGTCGGGTATTTCTTCATAGCAGTATGAAAGTGGACTAATGTAGTCTTAGCTACCCAGGAGGCTGAGGCAGGGGGATCATTGAGCTCAGGAATCATATTTCAGCCTGGGTGACAAAACATGACCCCACTGAAAGAAAGAAAGAAAGAAAGAAAGAAAGAAAGAAAGAAAGAAAGAAAAAGAGAGAAAGAAAGAAAAGAAGAAGGAAGAAAGAGGAAGGAAGGAAGGGGAGAAAAAACAAGTGTAAGGACAAAATCTTATCTTGGAGAAAATTCAGAGTGTAAAAGAAACTAATGTAGAAAAAGAAACTAAGGAAGGAGAAGATGGAGCAAATAGAAGTAGAAGATTAAGTAATTGCCATATAAAGGCAAACATTTCAAATGGCGCTTGGTAAATATTTTAAATTTTTTTGTAAAATAGGTTGAGATAATAACTGAAAAGTGCTCATCAGATTTTAAAGCTACAGAGTCTTTGGAAGCCATCACAAGAACAACGTTTTGGGAGCAAAGCAGGGAGAAGTCAGACTGCAATGGATTCAAGAGCGAAAAAGGAAGGGAGGGAGTAACAACATCAGGGTGGGTTACTTTTTTCAAGAAGTTTGAGTATGAATAAAAGGAGAAGGAGATCTCCTCCTCCTCCTCCTTCTTTCTTCTTCTCCTCCTCCTCCTTTCTTCTTTTCCTCCTTCTCCCCCCTCCTCTTCCTCCTCCTCCTTCTTCTCTTTCTTTGTTTTTAAGAAAGGAAACATTTTTCTCTAAAATAAAGGAAAAAGGCTCTATTCCATAGAGGTGCTCTGATTTGGGAGACTGCTACAAACATCTGCTTTTAAGAATAATTTTTTCATCTTAGGTTTTTCTCATCTATAGTTATGTTTCCAGGAGCACAGTTTGATCTATAGCAGACCGACCTCTATGTTAATAGCCTTTTGCCCTACAATAAGATTCTATTCTATTTACACAGAAGAGTATGTGGACTGAAGCCAACAACTAGAAAGAAAGGAAAATCACTCAGTGAAATGAAATCTGCTCAGCAAAATGTGTAACAGTGTAACCATATATCATAGTATTTTTTATTATTTTCTCTTTACTAAGTTTATTTGATGGATCAAGCATTAATTCTTTTTTCTTTTTCTTTTTTTTTTTTTTTTTTTTGAGATAGAGTCTCACTCTGTCACCCAGGCTGGAGTGCAATGGTGCGATATCGGCTCACTGCAACCTCTGCCTTCCGGGTTCAAGCGATTCTCCCTGCCTCAGCCTCCTGAGTAGCTGGGGTTACAGGAGCCCACCACCGTGCCTGGCTAATTTTTTTATTTTTAGTAGAGATGGTGTTTCGCCATGTTGGCCAGGCTGGTCTTGAACTCCTGACCTCAGGTGATCTGCCCACCTTGGCCTCCCAAAGTGCTGGGATTACAGGCATGAGCCACCGTGCCCAGCCTCAAGCATTAATTTTTAAAGCTATTCAACATGCACTTACTTTGTACAAAGTCGAAAGTGTTAGAGGTAATCTAATGACAATTATGTACTAACATACCTGAGCCTCTCTCTGTTTCCTTACATATGTAGAAAAAATGCAATGCATAAAGTGATTCGAATCCATATGGTTCTCACATTTGGGAAATTTAAAACCTATTTCAGACATTACCTTAGCCAGCTTCACAGCTCTAAAAAACTCTTTTTCTGAACTCTATATTATCACCTTAGGTGGAAAGTAAGGTGTGTGTCATTATGTTGAATTCTGCCTTCTATTCCAGACAGTACAGCTTTTGCAAACAGTTTTGTCTGACTACATGGTTTTTTGAGTCCCACAAATGAAGTACTCTGTTATCTACTTTTCCCACTCCCAGCCTCTATTTTACAGATGAGAAAACCTGAATGTATATCTTTACAGAGTTTGAAGACAGAGAAGAATCTTGAAGACTAAGGCTGCTTTTTGCTTGTAACTAAAAGCAGAATGACTGGAACTGGCAACAGGAAGGCTGTCTTGAAACCAGGCAGATTCTCTCTCATTTCTCATTTCTCCTTCATTCTTCTGTGTTTCTTCAATCCTGCTTCCTCTATGTCTTAGTCAAAAAGGTAGAATATAGCCCTACTTTATATGCTACAACATTAAATATGCCCTAAGCATAGAATACTGAATCTCTTTCTCTCCAACCACAGTTCCAAACCCCTGAGGGAAACACAGTGGTTCAGTTTGTAAGCCTAATGGATGCTTCTTGCCGGCTGCACAGGTACAGCTGGTTCACTGAGACAGTGGTATTGCTATAACGCAAGAGTTTAATTAATGCAGGGCTAAACCATGTGCAATACGGGAGTTGATTACTCAAATCAGTCTCCCTGAAAATTCGGAAACTAGGGTTATTTTAAGAATAATTTGGCAGGCAGGGGGCTAGGGAATGGGGAATGTTAATTGGTCAGGCTGGTGATGAAATTACAACAGATCAAAGCTGTTTTCTTGCAGTCTTCAGTTCCTGGGTGGGATCACAAGACCGATTGAGCCAGTTTACGGGTCCAGGTGGCACTAGCAGGTGCATCAGAAAGCAGGGTCTGAAAAATACCTGTGACACTAACCTTAGGTTTTAAAATAGTGATGTTATCTATAGGTACAATTGGGAGGTTATAATGCTTGTGACCTCTGGCTACATGACTCTTGAACCATAATTTCTAATCTTGTGACTAATTCGTTAGTTTTACAAATGTGATTTCAATACCCAAGCAAGGAGGGAGCAGTTTTTGGGAAGGGCTATTATCTTCCTTGCTGTAAGGTTAAACTATAAACTGAATTCCTCCTGAAGTTACCTTGGCCTACACCCAGGAATGAACAAGGTCTGCTCGGAGGTTAGACGCAAGATAGAGTCAGCTATGTCACATTTTTCTTACTGTCATGATTTTGCAAAGGTGCCTTCCAGTTTGGATTGAATATCCTCTCAGAATACAGTCAGCTGTGGTCCAAAAGTACAATCACATTGCCTAACATGGCTTCCAGGCATATATCTCTGTAGCTGGAAGCAGAAATAGTTAAAGGGATCATTGTAGGCCAAGCGGATATTAAGCAGATATTCTAAAATGTGTCCATTAGAAAAGCTACTCCCACTTTGTGTTATCAGAAACGCTACTCCCATTTTGCCTCCACTCCCCATCCGAAACACACTATTCTATAGGTCAAGGTTATATGGGAGAATTCTTGATGCACTTCTCTTTTCACTACATGATTTATCTTTCTTGACAATAGGCTGATTATCATTAAGTAAGCTGCAAGAAATGCCAGTCAGCTTCTTTTTACGCACTCTAAATCCCTTTCTCCTACTTTCCTATTCATTTCTTTCTGAGAAATTAAAGATAATGCTGCATGTATGTTAGAGAGACAATTTTTTTCAGAAGATCTTAGCCTGGTAGTAGCAATTCCTTCTTTTTTAACAATAAATTTTACTGTGTATATTTGAGTTTTTCATGTTGTTATGTGATACATGTAGATAGTAAAATGGTTACTGTAGTGAAGCAGGTTAGCATATCGATCATCTCACATCGTTATCTTTTTGTGACAAGAGCAGCTAAAATCTACTTATTTAACAGAAATCCAATCCAATACAAATTTGTATTAACTTTATCCCTGTACATTAGATCTCTAAGCCTCTCTATCCTTCATATCTGCTATTTTGTATTCTTTGACTTATGTTTCTCCATTTCCTCTCCCTGCAACCCCACAGTGGTAACCACTGTTTCATTCTCCATTTCCGTGTATCTGGGCTATTTTTTTTCTTTAATTCCACATTTAAGTAAGATCATGCAATATTCTGTGTTTGGCTTATTTCACTTAGTATAATGTCCCCAGGTCTATTCATGTTGTGGCAAATGGCAGGATCTTATTCTTAATAATATTCCATATGAGTGTGTGCCACACACACACTCACACCTGCCACATTTTCTTTATCCATTTGTCTGTCAATGGACATTTAGGTTGTTTCCATATCTTGGCTATTGTGAATAATGGTGTAATGAACATGGGACTGTGGATATCTTTAAAAGGTGGTGATGTCACCTCCTTTGGGTATATACCCAGAAGAGGGACTGCTGGATACTATGGTAGTTCTGTTTTTAATTTCTTTAAGAACCTCCATATTCTTTCCTGTAATAGCTGCACCAATCTATATGCCTACCAACAGTGTAATAGAGTTCCCTTTTCTCCACATCCCTCACCAACTTTGTTATCTCTTGTCTTTTTGCTAATAGCTATCCTTACGGGTATGAAGTGATATCTCATAGTGGTTTTGATTTGCATTTCCCTGATACTAAGTGGACGTTGAATACGTTTTCATACACCTGCTGGCCATTTTTATTTCTCCTTTGGAGAAATATCTGTTCAAGTCCTTTCCCCACTTTTTAATCAGATTGTTTTTCTCCTGTTGAGTTGTTAGAGATCTTTATAAATTTTGGATATTAACCCCTTATCAGATATGTGGTTTGCAAATACTTTTCCCAGTTTGTAAGTTGCTGTTTCACTTTGTTGATTGTTTCCTTTGCAATGCAGAAGTGTTTTAGTTTGATGTAGTCTCCTTTATTTATTTTTGCTTTTGTAGCCTGTGCTTTTGGATTGATATCCAAAAACTACTGCCAAGGCCAATGTTGAGGAGCTTTTCCCCTATGGCCAATATTGAGGAGATTTTCCCCTATGTTCTCTTCTAGAAGTTTTATGGTTTCGGGTCTTACATTTAGGTCTTTTATTCATTTTGAGTTGATTTTTGTGATGAAGATTCAATTTCATTCTTCTGCATGTGGAGATCCAGTTTTCCCAGTACCTGCAGTAAATATTTATTAAAGAGACTATTCTTCCTCCATTGTGTCCTTTTGGTGCCCTTGTTGAAAATAAGTTGGCCATCTAAGTTTTGATATATTTCTGGGCTCTATATTATGTTCCATTGGTCTATGTTTCTGCTTTTATGCTAGTGCCATGCTGTTCTGATTACTGTAGCTTTGTAACATACAGAAAGTGTGATGCCTGTGACTTTTTCTCTCTCAGTATTGCTTTGGGATTTTTTTGTGGTTCCATACAAATTTTAGGATTGTTTTTTCTATTTCTGTGAAGAATTGCCATTAGAATTTTGATAGGGATTTGCTTTCCTTTTTTAAAAAATAGATTTGGGAGTTACAGGTGCAGATTTCTTACAGGGATATATTGTGTAGTGGTGAAGTCTGGGCTTTTAGCCTACCCATCAACTGAACATTGTACCTAGTAGGTAGTTTTTCAACCCTCACCCACCTCCCACCTTCCCCTCTTTTGGAGTTCCCGGTGTCTGATATATATATACACACACACACACACACACACATATATATATATATATATATATATATATATATTTTATGCTTTAAGTTCTAGGGTACATATGCACAACGTGCAAGTTTGTTACATATGTATACATGTACCATGTTGGTGTGCTGCATCCATTAACTCGTCATTTACATTAGGTATATCTCCTAATGCTATCCCTCCCCCTGCCCCCCACCCCACGACAGGCCCTGGTGTGTGATGTTCCCCTTCCTGTGTCCAAGTGTTCTCATTGTTCAATTCCCACCTGTGAGTGAGAACATGCGGTGTTTGGTTTTTTGTCCTTGCGATAGTTTGCTGAGAATGATGGTTTCCAGCTTCATCCATGTCCCTATAAAGGACATGAACTCATCATTTTTTATGGCTGCATAGTATTCCATGGTGTATATGTGCCACATTTTCTTAATCCAATCTATCATTGATGGACATTTGGGTTGATTCCAAGTCTTTACTATTGTGAATAGTGCTGCAATAAACATACGTGTGCATGTGTCTTTATAGCAGCATGATTTATAATCCTTTGGGTATATACCCAGTAATGGGATGGCTGGATTAAATGGTATTTTTAGTTCTAGATCCTTGAGGAATCGCCACTCCCAGTGTCTGATATTTCAATCATTATGTCCATGTGTGCTTATTGTTTAGCTTCCACTTACCAGTGAGAACATGCAGTATTTGGTTTGCTGTGTCTGAGTGAGTTCACTTAGGATAATGACTTCCCACTCCATCCATGTTGCTGTAAAGGATACGATTTCATTCTTTTTTATTGCTGAGTAGTATCCCATGGTGTATATATATGACATTTTCTTTATTTGGTCAACCATTGATGGACACTTGGGTTTGTTCCTTGACTTTGCTATTGTGAATAGCACTGTGATAAACATGAGGGCAGGTGTCTTTTTTACACTTCTTTTCCTTGGGTAGATGCCCAGTAGTGGGATTTCTGGGTCCAATGTAGTTCTATTTTTCAGTTTTCTGAGAAATCTCCATACTGTTTTCCATAGATGTTTAACTAATTTACATTCCCACCAATGGTGTATAAGCATTCCCTTTTCTCTGCATCCATGCCAACATCTGTTGTTTTTTTTGACTTTTATTAATAGCCATTCTGACTGGTGTTAGACGATAGCTCAGTGTGGTTTTAATTTGCATTTCTCTGATGATAGTGATATTGGACATTTTTTTCATGTGTTTGTTGGCTGCTTGTATTTCTTCTTTCGAGAAATGTCTGTTCATGTCCTTTGCCCAGTTTTTAATGGGGTTGTTTGTTTTTTCTTGTGAAGTTGAATTCCTTGTAGATTCTGGATATTAGCCCTTCATCAGATGCATAGTTTGCAAATATTTCTTCCCATTCTGTGGGTTATCTGTTTACTCATAATTGGTTCTTTGGCTGTGCAAAGGTTTTTAGTTTAATTAAGTCCCATTGTCTATTTTTGTTTTTATTGCATTTGCTTTTGAGGACTTGGTCATAAATTCTTTGCCTAGGCCAATGTCCAGAAGAGTTTTTCCTAGGTTTTCTTCTAGGATTTTTATAGTTTCAGGTCTTACATTTCAGTCTTTAATCCTTCTTGAGTTAATTTTTGTATATGGTGAGAGATATGAGTCCAGTTTCATTCTTCAGCATATGGTTTTGATAGGGATTTCTTAAGCTCGACCAGCATGTTTTTAAGTATATAAGTGGAGGGAGATTATCTCTAGAACACGGGGACAAAAGAATCAAAACACATGACCCTTGCTTCCCCAAAATGAATTTCCAAAATATTGAGAAATAGCATATGCACATATGAACTAAATAGCAAAAGCAAACATCTAGCAATGTAAGCCATGCTGCGTATTGATTACTGAAGAAATGGAAAATAAGGACAAAGAACGGGAATCTTCAGGGAAATTTTTCTCATGAAGGGAAATTTTTAACAGGTCTTAAGGAAGATCATAGTAATTATACTTCAGAGGTTGCAAATTTATGGCCCATGTTTTGCTAGGCCAG